>NC_000023.11:90947390-91250420 GCF_000001405.40 Homo sapiens
TTTTATTATTTTGTAGTTTGGACTGAATTCTAATTTTTCCTGGCTATAAGTCTCCAAAATAACATTTTTATATTTTTTCCTTCTTTCTTTTCTTTTCCCTCAATTTTTTTCTAATTTGAAATCATTGAATATTAAGCTGTGCTTTCTTAAATCCCTGCAAACAGAAGCCATACAACTTAAACTACAGAAGAAAATAACAGCAACCTATTTACATGTATAAGCCACTTTTATACCTACCTACTAATGTATGGCAGAGTAATATGGCCTATATCAACTTTCCAGGATTTCTATTTTTTGTTCATTTTTTTTTCTCTCTTTCTCCCTCTATTATCTCTTCCTAGAACATTGGACTTCACAACCTGCTAAAAGTGAGTTTGTCTAATAACATGGGACCTACCCATCTAGAAATAAACCACCCTGGCCATGAGAAATAAGAGGAAACCTGAGACCAGAGACAAAAAAAAAAAAAAAAAAAGATTTCTCTGAAAGGTTTTATAAAGGGGAGAAATATAAAAGGAAAATGAATCTTGGGCCTCAAAATAACTACACTAAAGGGAAAAGTCAGACTGGAAACTGCTTAGGGCAAATCTGACTCCCATTCTATACAAAGTCACCCCTCTGCTCACTGAGATAAATGCATATCTGATTGCCTCCTTTGGAAAGGCTAATCAGGAAATCAAAGAAATGCAACTGTTTGTCCTTCACCCACTTATGACCTGGAAACCCCAACCCTGCTTTGAGTTGTTCCACCTTTCTGGGCTGAACCAATGTGCAACTTATATATGTTGATTGATGTCTTATGTCTCCCTAAAAATGTATAAAACCAAGTTGTGCTCTTATCACCTTGGGCACATGTCACTGGGACCTCCTGAGGCTGTGTCATGGGCACATGTCCTTAACTTTGGCAAAAGAAACTTTCCAAATTGACTGAGACCTGTCTCAGATATTTTGAGTTCACAATGTCAATTGCCAACTTTTTAACGGGATTATTTTTTTTTTTCTTGCTAATTTGTTAAAGTTTCTTGTAGATTCTGGACACTAGTTCTTTGTTTACCATATAGTTTGCAAATATTTTCTCCCATTCTGTGTGTTGTCTGTTTTTTTCTGATGATAATTTCTTTGGCTTTGCAGAAGCTTTTTAATTAAATTTGGTCCCATGTATTTATTTTTGTTTTTGTTGCATTTGCTTTCAGGGGCTGATATGGTTTGAGTCTGTGTTCCCACCAAATCTCATGTCAAATTGTAATTTCCAGTGTTGGAGGCACGAATGGATTAACATCTCCCTTTCAGTGCTACTCTTGTGATAGTGAGTGAGTGTTGAGTGAGTGAGTGAGTGAGTGAGTGACTTATTGGACGATCTGGTAATTTAAAATCATGTAGTCCCTCCTCCCTCCCTCTCTTTCTCCTGCTTCAGCCATGAGAAGTGCTGGCTTCCCCTTCACTTGTCACCATGATTGTAAGTTCCCTGAGGCTTTCCTAGAAGATTATGCTGCCATGATTTTATACAGCTTGCAGAACCATGAGTCAATTAAACCTCTTTTCTTTATAAATTACCCAGTCTCAGGTATTTCTTTATGGCAATGCAAGATTGAACTAATAAAGGAAATTGGTACCAAGGAGTGTGGCATTGCTATCAAGATACGTGAAAACGCAGAAGCAATGTTGGAATTATGTAACAGTCATGCCGGGTTCAGTGGCTCACGCCTGTAATCCCAGCACTTTGGGAGGCCTAGGTGGGTGGATCACGAGGTCAGGAGATTGAGACCATCCTGGCTAACACGGTGAAACCCTGTCTCTACTAAAAATACAAAAAAATTAGCCGGACGTGGTGGCGGACACCTGTAGTCCCAGCTACTCGGGAGGCTGAGGCAGGAGAATGGCATGAACCCAGCAGGCGGAGCTTGCAGTGAGCTGAGATCATGCCACTGTACTCCAGGCTGGGCGACAGAGAGAGATTCCATCTAAAAAAAAATAGAAAAAAAAGAGTCTGGAGGGCTTAGAAGAAGACAGGAAAATGAGGGAAAATTTGGAACTTCCTAGAGACTGCTTAAACTGGGATCAAAATGCTGATGGTAATATGGACCGTGAAAGCCAGGCTAAGGAGGTCTCAGATGAAGATGAGGAACTTTTTGAGAACTGGAGCTAAGGTCACTTTTGTTATGCCTTAGCAAAGAAGTTGAAGGAATTTTGCCCCTGCCCTAGGATTTTGAGAAACTTTGAACTTGAGAGAGTTGAGATAGATGATTTAGTGTATTGGGTGGAAGAAATTTCTGAGCAGCAGAGTGTCCAAAATGTGACCTGGCTGCTTCTAACCACCTAAGTTTATACATGTGAACAGACAAATGGCCTGAGACTGGAACTTACATTTAAAAGGGAAGCAGAGGATAAAAGTTTGGAAAATTTGCAGCTCACTTAGGTGATAGAAAAGAAAAGCCAATTTTCAGGGGAGTAATTCAAGCAGGCTGTAGAAATCAGCATAACTAAAAGGAAGGCAAGCGGTTATATCTAAGACAATGGGGAAAAGGCCAACAAAGCATTTCAGATTCCTTCATTGCAGCCCCTTTAATTACATGCCCTGAGACTTAGGAGGGAATAATGATTTCCGGGGCTGGTCCCAGTGCCCCATTGCCCTATGCAGCCTCAAGACACTGTTCCCTGCATGCTAGTTACTTCAGTTCCAGCCATCCAGCCATAGCTCAAAGGGGTTCAGGTAAAACTCAGGGTGCTGCTTCAGAGGGTGCAAGCCATAAGCCTTGGCAGCTTTCATGTGGTGTTGAAGCCTGTGGGTGCACAGAGTGCAAGAGTTGAGTTCACCTAGATTTCAGAAGATGTATGGAAAAGCCTGAATGTCTAGGCAGAAGCCTGCTGCAGTGGCAGAGCCTTTATGGGCAACCTCTAATAAAGAAGCATTAAGGGGAAATGTAGGGTTGTATCCCCTACATGGAGTCCCCACTGAGGCATTGCCTAGCAGAGATGTAAAAAGAGGACCAGCATCCTCCAGATCCCAGAATGGTTGATATGCTGGCAGCTTGCACTGTGCTTCTGGAAAAGCTGCAGAGCCTATAAGAAGCAGCTGTGGGGGCTGAACCTGGAAATTCACAAGTGTGGGGCTGTCCAAGGCCTTGGGAGCACACCCTTTGCACCAGTATGCCCTGTATGTGAGACATGGAGTCAAAGTGTTACCAGGAGGTCCTTGCTCCCAGAGCTCCCAAGATGGCGGTGGGTGTGGGGAAAAGCAAGAGAGATCAGATTGTTACTGTGTCTGTGTAGAAAGAAGTAGACATAGGAGACTCCATTTTGTTCTGTACTAAGAAAAATTCTTCTGCCTTGAGATTCTGTTAATCTATAACCTCACCCCCAACCCCGTGCTCTCTGAAACATGTGCTGTGTCAAACTCAGAGTTAAATGGATTAAGGGCGGTGCAAGACGTGCTTTGTTAAACAGATGCTTGAAGGCAGCACGCTCCTTAAGAGTCATCACCACTCCCTAATCTCAAGTACCCAGGGACACAAAAACTGCAGAAGGCCGCAGGGACCTCTGCCTAGGAAAGCCAGGTATTGTCCAAGGTTTCTCCCCATGTGATAGTCTGAAATACAGCCTCGTGGGAAGGGAAAGACCTGACCGTCCCCCAGCCCGACACCCGTAAAGGGTCTGTGCTGAGGAGGATTAGTAAAAGAGGAAGGAATGCCTCTTGCAGTTGAGACAAGAGGAAGGCATCTGTCTCCTGCCTGTCCCTGGGCAATGGAATGTCTCGGTGTAAAACCCGATTGTATGCTCCATCTACTGAGATAGGGAAAAACCGCCTTAGGGCTGGAGGTGGGACCTGCGGGCAGCAATACTGCTTTGTAAAGCATTGAGATGTTTATGTGTATGCATATCTAAAAGCACAGCACTTAATCCTTTACATTGTCTATGATGCAAAGACCTTTGTTCACGTGTTTGTCTGCTGACCCTCTCCCCACAATTGTCTTGTGACCCTGACACATCCCCCTCTTTGAGAAACACCCACGAATGATCAATAAATACTAAGGGAACTCAGAGGCTGGGGGGATCCTCCATATGCTGAACGCTGGTTCCCCGGGTCCCCTTATTTCTTTCTCTATACTTTGTCTCTGTGTCTCTTTCTTTCCTAAGTCTCTCGTTCCACCTTACGAGAAACACCCACAGGTGTGGAGGGGCAAACCACCCCTACAGGTGGGTCACTTCCAAAATGGCCACGGGCCACTTCCAAGATGGTAGCAAGCCTCGTGTTCTCTGACATGGGGTTCTTGGCCTCACGGATTCCAACGAAAGAAATCTTGGGCCATGCAGTGAGTGTTATAGCTCTATTAGAAGCTGTGGGTCACAGAAGAGAACCGTGGAACCCAGTGACTAGTGTTCAACTTGATTAGAATGAACCCGGGCACTTAGCAGTGCAGGAACAATGGCGAGCCTTTAGCCCAATCGGAAGCAGCAATGGGCGCCTCACTGGATCAGGAGCACAGTGAACACCCTGCCTGATCTGTACGGATGGAAGTCGGTGGTGGGTCTGCGAGGGCAGCAAACAGCAGTGGTGGACAGCGAGCGAAAGCTCAGCTTAAGCCATAACAAACACGGACCAGAAGAGTGCAGTTGCAAGATTTAATAGAGTGAAATAGAGTGAAAACAGCTCCCATACAAAGGGAGGGGACCCAAAGAGGGTAGCCGTTGCGGGCTTGAATGCCTGGGTTTATGTCCCAGTCATTGTCCCTCCCACTGTGCTCTCAGGTGGTAGATGATTGGCTATTTCTTTACCTCCTGTTTTTGCCTAATTAGCATTTTAGTGAGCTAGATTATTTTGGAGCTTTAAGGTTTAATGACTGCCCTGTTGGGTTTTGGACTTCGTGGGTCCTGCAGCTCCTTTCTTTGGCCAACTCTTCCACTTTAAAATGGAAGTATCTATCAAATGCTTGTATCACCATTGTATCTTGGAAGTAAATAACTTGTTTTTGATTTTAGAGGTGTATAGGTGGAAGACACTTGTCTTATCTCAGATGAGACTCTTTTCACTCGCGTCCATGTGAAGAGACCACCAAACAGGCTTTGTGTGAGCAACAAGGCTGTTTATTTCACCTGGGTGCAGGTGGGCTGAGTCCGAAAAGAGAGTCAGCAAAGGGAGATGGGGTGGGGCCGTTTTATAGGATTTGGGTAGGGAGTGGAAAATTACAGTCAAAGGGGGTTTTTCTCTGACTGGCAGGGGCAGGGGACACAAGGTGGTCAGTAGGGGAGCTTTTGAGCCAGGATGAACCAGGAGAAGGAATTTCACAAGGTAATGTCATCAGTTAAGGCAGGAACAGGCCATTTTCACTTCTTTTGTGATTCTTCAGTTACTTCAGGCAATCCGGATATACACATGCAGGTCACAGGGGATATGATGGCTTAGCTTGGGCTCAGTGGCCTGATAACTTTGAACTTTAGACTTTTGAGTTAATGCTGGAATGAGTTAAGATTCTGGGGAACTGTTGAGGAGGAATAATTGTATTTTGAAATGTGAGAAGGACATGAGATTTGGAGAGGCCACGGTCAGAATAATAAGGTTTGGGTCTGTGTTTCCCCAAATCTCATGTCTAATTGTAAGCCCCAGTTTTGAAGGTGGGACCTGGTGGGAGGTGACTGGATCATGGGGGCAAAGTTCTCATAAATTGGCTAGCACCATTTCCTCAGTGCTGTTCTTATGATAGGGAGTGAGTTATTATGAGATCTGCTTGTTTAAAAGGGTGTAGCACCTCTTCGCTTTCTTTCTCCTACTCCAGCCTTGTGTTGTGCTGGCTCCCATTTCAACTTTTTCCATGAGTGTAAGTTCCCTGAGGTCTTCCCAGAAGCTGATGTCACCATGCTTCCTGTACAGTATGCAGAACCAAGAGCCAATGAGGCCTCTTTTCTTTATAAATGTTCTGGCCTCAGGTATTTCTTTATCACAATGGGAGAAGAGACTAATACAGGATATTGGTCATGAATTCTCTGCTTAGGCCAATATCCAGAAGAGTTTTTCCAAGGATATATTCTAGAATTGTTATGGTTTCAGGTCTTAGATTTACATCTTTCATTCATCTTGAGTTGATTTTTGTATAAGGTGAAAGATAGGTATCCAGTTTCATTCTTCTACATGTGGCTAGCCAGTTTTCTTTTGTCTTTCTTTGTTTTTTTGTTTGTTTGTTTCTGAGATGTAGTCTTGCTCTGTTGCTCAGGCTGGAATGTCGTGGCATGATCTTGGCTCACTGCAACCTCTGCCTCCCAGGATCAAGCAATCCTACCGCGTCAGCCTCCTAAGTAGCTGGGATTACAGGCACATGCCACCACACCCGGCTAATTTTTTATATTTCTAGTAGAGACAGGGTTTCACCATGTTGGCCAGGCTGGTCTCGAACTCCTGATCCCAGGTGATCCACCTGCCTCAGACTCCCAAAGTGCTTGGATTACAGGTGTGAGCCACCGCACCCAGGCTGGCTCGTGAGTTTTCTAGGCACAATTTATTAAATAGAATGCCTTTTCTCTATTTTATGTTTTTGTATGTTATATCAAATATCAGTTGTTTATAAGTATCTGACCTTATTCCTGAGTATTCTCTTCTGTTTCACTGGTCTGTGTGCCTACTTTTATAAAAGTATCATGCTATTTTGGTAAATACAGCCTTGTAATATAACTTGTAGTCTGGTTGTGTAATATTTCCAAATATGTTCTCTTTCCTTAGCATTCCTTTGCCTATTAAGGCTCTTTTTTGATTCCATATAAATTTTAAGATTGTTTTGTCTAGTTCTGTAAAAAATAATGTTGGTATCTTGATGGAAATTGCATTTAATCTGTAGATTGCTTTGGGCAGTGTGGTGATTTTCACAATATTGATTGAGTTTCTATCCATGAGCATCAGATGCATCTACATTTGTTTGTGTCATCTCTGTTTTTTTGTTTTGTTTTGTTTTTGAGATGGTGTCTCATTCTGTCGCCCATGTTGGTGTGCAGTAGCATGATCTTGGCTCACTGAAACCTCCGTCTCCTGGGTTTAAGTGATTCTCCTGCCTCAGCCTCCTGAGTAGCTGGGACTACAGGCGTGTGCCACCATGCCCGGCTAATTTTTTGTAGTTTTAGTAGAGACAGGGTTTCACTGTGTTAGCCCAGATGGTCTTGATCTCCTGACCTCGTGATCTGTCCGCCTCATCCTCCCAAAGTTCTGGGATTACAGGCGTGAGCCACTGTGCCCAACCTGTCATCTCTGTTTTCTTCCAGCAATGTTTTGTATTTCTCCTTCTACAGATTCTTCACTTTCTTGTTTACTTATATTCCTAGATATTTTTATATTTTTTCAGCTATTGTAAAAGAGACTTCTTGATTTGATTTTCAGCTTGGTCACTGTTGGTGTATAGCAGTGCCATTGATTTGTGTACATTGATTTTTTATCCTGTGACTTCACTATATTTGTTTATCGAATCTAGGATTCTTTTGGAGGAATCTTTAGGGTTTTATAGGTATAAAATTATATCATTAGCAAATGGCGATAGTTTTACTTTCTCTTTTCCAATTGGGATGCCCTATGTGTTTTATCCTGCCGGATTGCTCTGGCCAGAACTTCCAGTACTCTGTTGAATAGAAGTGGTCTAAGTGGGTATCCTTTTCTTATTCCAGTTCTTAGGGTAAATCATTATATTCAGTGTGATGTTGGCTGTGGGTTTGTCATATATGGCTTTTATTATTTTGAGATAAGTTCATTCTATGCCTAGTTTGTTGAGTGTTTTTATCATAAAGTGATACAAGATTTTATCGTGCTTTTTCTGCTTATATTTAGATAATTGTATAATTCTTTTTAGTTCTGTTTATGTGATGTGTCACATTTATTGACTTGTGTATGTTAAGCCATCCTTGTATCCCTGAGATGAAACATAATTGATCATGGCATATTATCTTTTTGGTGTGCTGTTGGATTAGGTTAACTAGTATTTCTTTGAGAATTTTTGCATTTATGTTCATGAAGAAAATTTGTCTGTAGTTTCCTTTTTTTGTTATGCTCACTACTGGTTTAGGTATGAGGGTGATACTGGGTTCATAGAATAACTTAGAGAAGATTACCTCTTTCTCAATCCTTTGGAATAGTTTCAGTAGAATTGGTACTAATTCTTCTTTGAGTGTCTGATAAAATGTAGCTCTAGATTTATCTGGCCATGGGCTTATCTTTTTCTTGGCATTTAAAAAAATTACTGATTAAATCTTGCTGCTTGTTATTGGTTTGTTCAGGGTTGCTATTTTTTATTCCTTTATTCTAGGAGGGTAGTATGTTTCCAGGACTTTATCTATTTCCTCTAGATTTTCTAGTTTGTGTACATAGAAATGTTCACAGTAGTCTTGAATGGTCTTTTGTATTTCTATATTATGTTGGTTGTATGTATTTCTATATTGTGTTGATATTGTATGTTGGCTGTAAAGTCTCCAGTTTCATTTCACTATAGCTCATTGGAAATTCTCTTATATATTCGTTAATCTAGCCAACGGCTTATCAATTTTGTTTCTTTTCAAAGAAGCAGCTTTTTGTTCTATTGATCTTTTGGGATTTTTTTGTTTTAATTTCATTTAGTTCTGCTCTAATCTTTATTTCTTTTCATATGTTAGCTTTGGATTTGTTTTGATCTTGTTTCTCTAGTTTCTTGAGGTGTGAAATTAGGTAGTCAGTTTGTGTCCTTTCAGACTTTTTGATGTAGGCATTTAGCACTGCAAATGCTCTTAGCAGTGCTTTTGCTGTTTTGTAGGGATTTTCATAACTTTTGTCACTATTATCATTCATTTTGATGTTTACATTTTTAAATTTTCATCTTGACATTATTGTTAACCTAAAAATTATTTAGGAGGAGATTGTTTAATTTCCATGGATTTGTGGTTTCTTTTGGAGTTGATTTTTTATTCTATTTTACTGTGGTCTGAGAAGATATTTGATATAATTTTAATTTTTTTAAATTTATTGAGACTTGTTTTGTGGCCTATCATATGATGTATCTCAAAGAATGTTCTATGTGCTGATGAGAAGAATTCATATTCTGTAGCTCTTTGGTAGGATATTCTGTAAATATGTGTTAGGTTCTGTCTCAGATACTTTTCAGTTTACACTAGCTAATATTGGCAACAATATTGTTTTGAGTGTTGTTTATATATGTAGTCATAAAGCTCACAGCTCACATTTATTTGGGGGAATATGTATTTTTTTCATTATACACACGAAATATAAACAATGAAAATTTATTTTAATATTGATACATCTTGAATTTCATAATGGGGCAGAATAAGTTAGGTTAGATGGCAATACTGACTGGATCCCTTGTTTGAAGCCCTGCAGGCTCCATCCCTAGCACCCTTCTGTGTCAGCACCTAACTCTTTTGCAAGATAAGCAGTCCCACAGGATACCAGCAGAGTGCAAGATAGTTACAAGGTTCTGATACCTGATATAGGTCCAGGAAAAAGAACAAAAACTCCTTATTCCTGATGTATCTTCTCCAATATCCAGCCAATCTGCACAAGAATCCCAAGAAATTAATAGCTACAAATTTCTGCCTTGGAGCTAAGAATTTTCTTTTTCTTTCTTTGTCCTACTTGCTCAGCTGGGCTCAAGGTTTAGCTTATAGTGACTGTTTTCTCATTTTAACAGTAAAACACACCTTTAGGTGCAGGTTTTATATGCTAATAACACATGTGATGTATGTTAGAGTTTGTAGACGCTGAGTGCATGTGCCAACTGCAGATCTGCCTTTGCATAACTTACCTCACCAGTATTTTATAAATATGTAGGGAGAGGGTCAATATGGCTGACTAGAAGCAGCTAATGTGTGCCGTCCTCATGGAGAGAAGAAACAGTAGTGAGTAAATACTATACCTTCCACTAAAACATTCAGGTGAACACAATGGGATTCATTAAGAAAACAACTTGACCCACAGAGAATGGAGAGAAACAAGACTGAACAACTGCCAACAAAGAAGTGGCACTGAGCCAAGGGAGTCCCCGCCATGGGGAAATGGCAAGTGAGTGAGAAATCTCAGGGACCCACACTTTTTTTATGTATCTTTGCCACTGTTGGGTCAGGAGATTCTCTCAGGAGCCCACTCAACCAGGGCCTTCAGACTGCTATGAAGAGCTATGTGGAGTCTGGATAGAGCCACCACTCAAGCACACACAGTGTCCTGGGAGCCTTGGATCCTGGGCTTCACAGCATTAGTAGCTGCAGTTCCAGCAAAGGGGGAGGTTAGGCTCCCTTACATACCCTGGGGAAAGGGGCTGAACCCGAAGGGCTAAGCAGCGCCAGTCTGAAGGCTTTGCTTCCACTCTACTTCAGAGAATAAAGACCACTAATTTGGGACTCCAGCCACCTCCTACTGGAACTCTGAGGCCAGTAATAGCTCCACACTTCCCTGGGACAAAGTTCCCAGAGGGAGGGGTGGGATGTCATCTTTGTTAGCTCTCATGCTTTTCTGTCTGTTACCTTCATGCTCTGGAGATTCTGAGGTAACTAGGGTCTTTCTGGGACCCCCAACACATTGAAGCTGCCTTACAAAAAAGCATCCAGACTGTTTTTAATGCAGGCCTTTATCCCCGTTCTCCTCACTGACCAGGACCTCCAGATCTGAGAATCCAGCCATTCCTTGCTGGAGTTCTTGGGCCATCAGCAGCTCTGAACCTCCCTGAGACAGAGATCCCAAAGGGAGGAGTGGGTTGCCATCTTTACTTATTTACATACTTTGCCACTGTTGCCTTCGGCCTCTGGAGAATCCATGGCGACTAGAACTCGGCACAGACCCCCAGTGCAGTGCAGCTGCCCCACAGAAAAGTGGCCTGACTGTTCCCCATGCAGGTCCCTGTCCACACTTGTCCTCACTGTGCAGGACCTCCTGACCTGGGACTCCAGCCTAACCCCTGTCCTTGCCTTCTCCAAGGAGGAAATCCCAGATTCAATCCACAGCCCCTCCACCATTGCAGCTGCAGTAGTACTGCCTTAATTGCCTTCAAGCTGGGAAAAGAACAAAGACAATAGTCATTACACTGGCACCTCCAGTACAGTGCAGCCAGCATACATAGAGGAGTCCAGTCTCTCTTCCCTGGGAGCCCCCATGCCCCCTCTTCACCAGGTAGGTCCCCTGGCTCAGGAATGCAGAACAGCCACCCCAACCATTGCTGAGCATACCCACTGGTAGTGGCTCTGAGTTGCTGTGGGTAGGAGCTCCCAGAGCCAACTGACAGCCCCTCTGCCACTGCCACAGCAGTGGATCTGTCCCATCTGACCTCAGTCGGCAGAAGAAACAAAGAGCTTGAGGGCTTCACCTGGGCTTACAGCACATCTCAGCCAACATATGGAGAACAACCCTGTCTCTCTTCTCTGTAAGCCCTAGACTCCCTTCTCCCTGACAATGACAGCCCCTAGCTCAGGCCAGCAGTAAAGCTACCCCCATTCACTGGCTGAATACTCCCAGTAGCAATGGCTCTGCCTTTCTCATAGGTGGAGCTCCCAGGGAAGACAGAAATCCCTTTTGCCATTGCCTCTCCAGTGAAACTGCCCATGCTGCCCTTGGACTAAGGAAACAGCAAAGATCCTGAGTGCCTTATCCATACCTCAAGCAAGCTGTAGTTGCCCTAAGGAGAGGCCAGGCTGTCTCCCACAGATCACACACACTCCACTGCTTATCACCAGGAAGTGACCCCAGTTTGGGCCCACAGTGCAGCCACCCCATTCTAAGCCAATCACACTGATTGACTGAAGCTTTACATCTCTCTTGGTTGGAGCCCCAGAACAAGTGGAGTAGCATTGACCACAACTGCTGCTAAGCTCCCTTTCCCTGCTGCTTCCAAGCTGGGGAGGAAAAATGAAGCCTGAGATTATTCCAGGGCTTGGGTGTGCAGCCCGAAACTGCTAAGCTGAGATCTGTAACCAGCACTCAAATGGGAGAGGAGACCACATTTTCAGAGCATTAAGAGAGAATATAGCTGCAATCAAGAGAAAAAAAAAAAAAGAAAAAAGAAAAAGAAAAACAGGAGTCACATAACAGAACCAGCACTTACTTACTAACCATTATGCCTAAGCAGCACCTACTGGATCACACACCAAAACTTAAACACCAAAACTACATTCTAAGCATACCTTCCTTTGAAACCAAAGACAAGAATTCAGTTTCTGATAAAGGCCATGTACAGAGCCTCAACCATCTGAAAAAACACCAAGAAAAGGAGTGTACTGACTAGTCAATTTACACTGCAGTTAAAGAAACACCCACAAGTGCAGATGAGAAAAATACCAACACAATAACTGGCAACTCAAAATGCCAAAGTGTTTCCTTTCCTCAAAATGACTACAGCAGTTCCCAGCAAGGGTTCTCAGCTGAGCTGAGATGGCTGAAATATCAGAAGTAGAGTTCAGAATGTGGATAGAAATGAAGATCATTGAGATTCAGGAGAACATGAAAATCAATCCAAGGAAGAAAAGGATCACAAAAAATGATGGAGGATCTTATAGATAAAACAGTTAGTATTAAAAAAGAACCAAACTAGTCTGATAGAGCTAAGAACACACTATAAGAATTTCATAATGAAATTGCAAGTATGAACAGCAGACTAGACCAAGCTGCAGAGATAAACTCAGAGCTTGAAGACAAGCTCTCTGAAATAAGACAGAAATAAAAATGAAAAAAATAAAATAAAAAGGAACAAACAAAACCTCCGATAAATATGGGATTACATAATGAGATAAAATCTATGACTTATTGGAGTATGTACTTGAAAGAAATGAGGAGAAAGCAAGCAACTTAGAAAACATATTTCAGGATATTGTCCATAAAAACATTCACAAACTCGCTGGGGAGGCCAACATTCAAATTCAGGAAATGCAGAGAACCCCTACAAGATACTACACAAGAAGACCATCACCAAGACATCTAATCATGAGGCATTCCAAGGACAAAATGAAAGAAAAAATATTAGAGGCAGTTACAAAGGGCAAGTCACCTACAAAGAGAACCCCATCAGGCTAACAGCAGATCTTTCAGCAGAAATTCTATAAGCCAGAAAAGATGAGGGGCCTGTACTCAACATTCTTAAAGAAAAAATCTTAAACAAGGAATTTCATATTCAGCCAAATAAACTTAGTAGGTGAAGGAGAAATAAGCTCCTTATTAGATATCCATACAATACTAGTTGGAGGCTTCAACACTCCATTGAAAGTATTAGACAGAACCAAGCAAAAAAATAACAAAGGTACTCAGGACCTGAACTCAACACTTGACCACATGGATCTAATAGACATCTGCAGAACTCTTCATCCAAAAACAACAAATTGTACATTATTCTCATCACCACATACCACATACACCAAACTTGACCATATAATCAGACATAAAATAATCCTCATAAAATTTTAAAAAAATGAAATCATACCAGTCACACTCTCAGACCACAGCACAATAGAAATAGAATTCAATACAAAGAAAATTGCTCAAAACCATACAATTACATGGAAATTAATCAACCTCCTCCTGATTGACTTTTGGGTAAATAATGGAATTAAGGCAGAAATCAAGTTTTTTGAAACTAATGAGAACAAAGAGACAAGATAGTTGAATCTCTGGGAAACAGCTATGTCAGTGTTAAAGGGAAATTTATAACAAGAAACACCCACATCAGAAAGTTGGAAAGATCTCAAATTAACAACCTAACGTCACAACTGGAAGAAGTAAAGAAGCAAGAGAAAACCAACCCCAGAGCTACAAAACGACAAGAAATAACCAAAATAAGGCTGAATTGAAGGAGACTGAGGCTTAAAAATCCATGCACAATCAACAAAACCAAGAGTTGGTTTTTAGAAAATAAATTATAAGACTGACCACTAGTTAGACTAATAAAGAAGAAAAGAGAGAAGATAAAAATAAACACAATTAGAAAGAATGAAGCCATTACCAGTGACCCCACAGAAATACCAATAACTATCAGAGACTACCATGAACACCTCTATGCACAAAAACTAGAAAATCTAGAAGAAACAGGTAAACTCCTGGACACATACACCCTTCAAAATCTGAAACAGAAAACACTGAATCCCTGAATAGGCCAATATAAAGCTCTGAAATTAAAATAGTAATAAATGTACTAACAACCCAAAAAGGCCTAGAACCACATGGATTCACAGTCAAGTTATACCAGGTATACAAAGAAAAGCTGGTACCATTCCTAATGAAACTATTCTTAAGAAAATGAGGAGGGACCCCTCCCTAACTCATTCTATGAGGCCAGCATCATCTCAATATCAATACCGGACAGAGACACACACAAAAATGAAAACTTAAGGCCAATATTCTTGATAAACATAGATGCAAAAATTCTCAACAAAATATTAGCAAATCAACTCCAGCAGCATATCAAAAAGCTAATCCACCATGATCCAGTAATCTTTATCCCTGAGATGCAATGTTGGTTCAACATACAAAAATCACTAAATTTAATTCATCACGTAAACAGTGCTAAAGAAAAATACATATGATTTTCTCAGTAGATGCAGAAATGGCTTTCAATAAAATTCAAAATCCCTTCATGTAAAAAAATGATCAATAAACTATGCATTAAAGAAACATACTTTAAAATAATAAGAGCTATCTATGACAAACCCACCGCCAACATCATACTGAATGGCAAAAGCTGAAAGCATTTTGATTTATAGCCAGCACAAGACAAGGATACCCTCTTTCACCACCACTATTCCACATAGTACAAAAGTCCTGACCAGGCAATCAGAAAAGAAGAAAAACTAAAAGACATCCAAATAGGATGAGAGGAAGTCAAACTATCCCTTTTTGCAGATGACATGATTCTATGTCTTAAAGCACCCCATAGTCTCTTCACGAAAGCTCTGAGAGCTGATAAACAACTTCAGCAACATTTAAAGATACAAAATAAACATATAGAAATCAGTAGCATTCCCGTACTCCAACAACATCCAAGCCAGGAGCCAAATCAGGCACACAATCACATTCACAATTGCCACAAATTAGATAAAATATCTAGTAATACAGCTAACCAGGGAGGTGAAAGATCTCTACAATAAAAATAACAAACCACTGCTCAAAGAAATCAGAGACAACACAAACAAATTTAAAAAAATATATGCTCATGGGTAGGAAGAATTAATATCTTTAAAATGGCCATAGTGCCAAAACCAACTTACAGATTCGAAAGTTATTCTTATCAAACTGCCAATAACATTCTTCACAAAATTAGTAAATGCTATTTTAAAATTCATATGAAACAAAAAAGAAGCCTGCATAGCCAAATCAATCTTTAGCAGAAAGAAGAAAGGTGAAGGCATTATGTTACCCAAATTCAAACTATACTACAGGGTTAAAGTAACCAAAACAGCATGGTACTGGTAAAACAAAACAAAACAAAACAAAAAAACAGACACAGAGAACAATGGAACACAACAGACAGCCCAGCAATAATGCCACATACCTACAATGATCTCATCTTTGACAAAGGTGACAAAAACATTCAATGGGGAAAGGACTCTCTTCAATAAATAGTGCTGAGATAACTGGCTAGCCATGTGCAGAAGATTGAAACTGGATCCCTTCCTTACACTATACATAAAAATCAACTCAAGATGGATTAAAGAGTTAAATGTAACAGCTAAAACTATAAAATCAACATAAGATAACCAAGGAAATACCATTCTGGAAATAGAAACTGGCAAAGATTTCATTACAAAGACACCAAAAGCCATTACAACAAAAGCAAAAATTGATAAATATGATCTAATTAAACTAATGAGCTTCTGCACAGCAAAAGAAACTATGAACAGAGTAACAGACAACCTACAGAATGGGAGAAAATTTTGCAAACTCTCATCTGACAAAGGTCTAATATCCAGTATCTAGAAAGAACTTAAATTTATAAGCAAAAACAAACAAACAAACAACAACAACAAAAAAACATTAAAAAGTGGGCAAAGGACATAAACAGACACTTTTCAAAAGAAGACATACATGTGGCCAAGAAGCATATGAACAAAAGCTCAGTATCGCTGATCATTGGAGAAATAAAAATCAAAACCACAATGAGATACCATCTCACCCAGTAAGAATGGCTAATCATTAAAAAGACAAAAAATAACAGATGCTGGCAAGGTTGCAGAGAAAAGGGATCACTTTTACCCTGCTGTTGGGAGTGTGAATTAGTTTAATTATTGTGGAAAAGAGTATGCTGATTCCTCGAAGACCTAAAAACAGAACTATCATTTTCCCCATCAAACTCATTACTGGCTATATACCCAAAGGAATATAATACATTGTTCTACCATAAAGACATACGTATGTGTGTGTTCATCGCAGCACTATCCCCAATATCAAAGACATTTAAGCAACCTAAACGCATGCACATCAACAGTAGACTGGACAGAAAAATGTGGTACCTATAGGCCGTGGAATACTATGCAGCCATACAAAGAATGACATAATTTTCTTTTCAGTAGCTTGGGTAGAGCTGGAGACCATTATTCTTAGCAAACTAATGCAGGAATGGAAAATCAAATACCACTTGTTCTCCCTTATATGTAGAAGCTAAATAATGACAACACATAGAAACCAAGAGGCTAACAGCAGACACTGGAGCCTACTCGAGGGTGGAGGGTGGGAGGAGGGAGAGGGTCAGAAAAAAAAGATCTATCAGGTACTAGTCTTAGTATCTCGGTGATAAAATAATCTGTACACCAAACCCCCATGACATGTGTTCACCTATACAACAAACCTGCAAATGTACCCCTGAATCTAAAATAAAAGTTAAAAGAACAAATACAAATAAGCATAAATAAATAAATAAATATGTAGGTATGTATGTACAAATCCCATACAAGGAATTCCTCTTAAGGCGATAGCTGCTGTCTCTCCCTTTGGCAGCCAGCATACTCTCAGAGTATGCTTTCTGTTTACAATAAGCTTCTCTGCCTACTCTTACTTTGAATTTGCTCTCAAATTGTTTTGTGCGGTTAAATCAAGAACTTGAACTGGCCCACTGACAACAATAGCAGTGATGCATAGTAAATTAGCATTTGTTTTACTTGCAATGTGAATCAGACAATAATGCTTTCCTTAGACACAATCATTGCATCATTCATCATTCACAATGGAAATAATGTTTCATGAAGTTGTGTTTTGTTGTGGTTAAAGCTCATATTATCATTTCGTGAATCCAAATATTCTATATTTTACTTTTCTTATTTTATTACTCCTTGATTCTTCACATACTGCCGTCTTTAAAAATTGTTAACTAATATTTATGATTGTGTAGTCCTACGGAGCCCAAGAGATTTTCCTCATTGTATTACTTATTTATCTTTTCTTCCTTTTCCTTTGCGAAAAATGATCTGAAACTATTATTTATCTTTTATGATTAACTTACCAAATATTCTTGCTACTGAACCAGCTTTTTTGTTGTTGTTGTTTAAAAGTGGGCACGGGGATTGTTCTTAAAAATAATTTTATGACTTAATCCTCTAACAAATATTTTCATTTTAAGTGGATGCCCTTTCTAATATATATAAATTTTAAAGATCAGCATCTTTGCAAACTTCCTTTTAGTTTAACATACATTTTCCCTTACAAGTTCAATTTTGTATTTTTGTCTTTATTTTATTCCTTTGTTTTTTTATTCTATGTATTGTCGTCAGGACCAGATAACCTGCTGTCTTCCACCCTCTTAAAAAAAGCAATTAGTTGGCCGAGCGCGGTGTCTCTTGCCTGTAATCCCAGCACTTTGGGAGGCGGAGGCGGGCGGATCACGAGGTCAGGAGATCGAGACCATCCTGGCTAACACGGTGAAACACCATCTCTACTTAAAAAACATACAAAAAATTAGACGGGCGTGGTGGCGGGCGCCTGTAGTCCCAGCTACTCCGGAAGCTGAGGCAGGAAAATGGCAAGCTCCGGGAAGCGGAGCTTGCAGTGAGCCGAGATCGCCACTCCAGCCTGGCCGACAGAGCAAGACTCCATCTTAAAAAAAAGAAAAAAAAAAAAGCAATTAGTTCTGATTTAGTGTTTTCATCCTTCTTTATAATTATAATCTGCATTGCTTTTCTTATTTATTATTTTCTAACTCCCATGTATAGTCACTATATATAACTATATAATTGTTGTTTCCTTATAGATTCAGTTATGTCCAAAGCTATCACTTTTCTACATTTTTTTTTTGCAATTTCAGTGTGAAATCAAATGTTCCAGCTTTTCTGTGAATCCCCATATTTCTTTTAGATAAGCTAAATCTCTGAGATTTAAGCCCATTGAAATATATTCTGATTTGATCCTTCTCTTTTAGCAGGTTATATGCTATGTTCCTTTATTCTTTTCCAATATCTTTGCTTGACATTAGTCTTAATAAAATATTTATGTACCAGGCATCTCCAAAGTTTCTTTCTTTATTTGTTAATATACTTGCTTTTGTAATTTTGATCCAATATTTTTTCAGAGGGGATGTAAGATGGCTTACATCAATACATGCAATTCACACATCATTCATTTGCATGTTCTCACAACCTCTAGGAGAAAATATGAAAACTGCCTTTCTGCTACATACTGTACTAGTGCTGGGACATTTGAATATTGTAATGATAAGAACCAGAATTTATTATAACAATAAGAACAGAAAAGGCAGAGGGAGGAAGATAAATCAAAATGGCTTAATTTACTTTATTCTATATTATTTTAATAGGGATAGTTTATAAATTATCAACTTAAAAATATCTTTCATTTTTTAAAAAAAAATTTGCCTGGAAGTTTTCAATAAGTTATCTTTTGGTCAAATTATCCTCTTGAGACTATTTTTGGGCACCCATCAAGCTTACTTAACCAAAAGTTTCCATGCTTATTTTAATCTTAGAGCTGTACATTGAATATTCAAACTATACTCCTGTCTGAAACCTTTATTGCATTCTTAAAATGCATGTTTATCCTTTTCTTCTTCACATACTGAAATAAAATAAGCAACAAAAATGATTGCAATAATTTGCCAAAAGTGTTTAAATAAGGAAAATATGATCTATTCAGATAGATGTCTTGTGCTTTTTTAAAATTATGAAACAACCTGAAGCTTAAAGAAAATTTGCAAGTATAGTACAAATAACTTTTTCTATAATCTATTTGAGAGTGAAATGCTGACTGATGATGCCCCATGAACCCCAGCTCTTGTTTTGTGCAGATTTCCTATCAACAAGGACAATGGATCACAGTACAACTATCAACATTGGGAAATTAACCTAAACACAATCCTAACAGCTAATCATCAGACCCCATTGAAGTTGTGTCAAATGTCCAAATAACACCCTTTCTAGTGAAATGATTCGTTTCAGAATATACACATTCACTTTATTTATCATATTTCCTTATTCTCCTTCTTTGGTTTTCATGATCTTGGCACTATGGAAAAGTACAGACAAGTTACATTGTAGTTTGTCTCTCGATTTGGGTTTATTTGATGGTTTCTTATAATTTGATTCAGGCCATGTATCTTTTGTAGCATTATCCTGGGAGAGATATTGTTTTCTTTTTACTGTGATCAATGAGGTGGCATGCCATTTTAATTAGTTTTATCACTAATGATGTTTATTTTGATCATTTAATAGAGTATTCACAAGACTTCTCCACTGTAAACTTTGTGTTTTTACCTCTTTGTAATCATAAAGTATTTTAATAATTTAATGGATGTAAATATCCCATTCTTTATCTAATGTTTGATTTATTCTTTATTAATTTATATAGTTATGGTTTCATAATTCTGTAATTTATTTAATGGGTTATAATATGCTACAATAATTATTTATTTTAATGCTCAAATTGTCTGATTCAGCAGTAGGAGACCCTTTAAACTGGCTCCAATATCCTTTTGATACATCCCCATCATTTCTTAAGCATGTCCTTCTTTACCAGAATCAGAATATGTATGAGGATTTTCTTGTGCTCTCCGTGCCCCAGATCTAGAATTATCCTTGCTCCAAGAAATTCTGGTTCTTTTTAGAGGAAAATGGTGTTTTGAAACTGATATCTGGATGCTAATTCAATCCCAAACCTCACCACCACAGGGTTCAGTCTAATATTATCTCTTTTCTTATTTCTAATTCTCTTTTTCAGCAAGGAGAAATAAGGGTCATGTAAATATATTTACTTACCTAGTTACTCCTCCTCTGTGTAACCAATCCCCTGTGGCTACCACTGTCATCTTTCTCACTAACTAATTGCTGTATTAATACTCCTGTCGATTTTTTGGCTCTTGAAGCAAATATGAGGATAAACTCAAATATCTTGTTTTTAAATTTCCATGCTGACTCATTTTTAATAACTTCTTACACAGAAACTTTTCAAATATTCTTAATATCTGAAGAAACCACACTTTCTCTTTTCTGCTCATTCATATTTTATCTCTCTAAGAAAATATAAGGGAGTTTATTACACTAGCTGGAATATTCACTAGCTAGATCTCTATTATATGGAAATTATATTATTCAGAACTCACAGGATCCTTTCTTGAAGAATAACTTGGGACTTTTCCAGTCCATAGCATTTTGTATATGTTCATGTAACATATTTGTAGCAAATTTTTCCTGCTTTTGCACTGGGATATTTTCATACGTTTTTGTTGATATTATATATTCCAAGGTGTTATCTATTCCAATGGAAACATGAGGTTTCTCAATTTTTAAGATCATCTTATGTATGGAGCACTCTTTGATTTAGTTTTTTCTAGACTATGGCACGTGGAGCTTACTATTTCTAAAAGTAACCATTCTCTAGGTTAAATAAGGGGTATATAATTTAGGGATTTTTCCAGAGATTATTTACCAATTACAAAGGGGAGGAAGAGATTCCATTACAGTGGGAGAAATATAATAGACACAACTGCAATGAAGTGGTAAAAGTTAATCAGTATTAAAATCAGTATTAGAACAAATTGACGTCCTGTGCCTCATGATGTGATGCCATGAGGAAAATATACATGACTTCTCTGAGGTTCTGGCTAAAAACACACAAGCTCACTCTAATCATGAGAAAACAATCAGACAAATCAAAAGTGAGAGCAATTTACAAAACAGCTCTGAATTTTTTAAAAATGTTAATGCCATGAGAAAAAAAATGTTTGGAGAAGTCTTCTAAATTAATAGAGACAAAAGAAAGCATGACAACTAAATGCAATGCTCAATCCTGAATTGATTCATGAATTAAAAAAATCATATTTTAAAGATATTATTGGGAAAATCAGTGAAATTTTTATAAACTGTCGAGTTGTCAATACCTTATACTATGTTTAAATTTTCTTTATTTGAAATTGTATAATAGTTATGTAAAACAATATCCTTGCTCTTAGAAGACAGATGCTAGCAGTATTAGGGATAAAGTGTCATGAAAGTTGCAAATTACTCTCAATGGCTTGAGAAAAAATAATTATATATATTAGTTATATACACTTTCATATATATTAATTATATATACTTACATATATTTATATATTTAAGCCCACACAGAGTCACAAATACATGCATGCACAAATATACAAAGGAGAAAGAAAGAAATCAAGCAAAATGGTGAAACTGGGTGAAAGATGTACACTTCTTACATTTTTTCTGTGGCTTAAAAATGTATTAAATAAAATTTAAAAAAAAATGAAAAAATGAAAAAATATATTCTGTTTTATTCAAAAACCCTGTAAAAATCCATTTTTATTTGTTTTTAATCACCTTTATCTGTTGGTGGGAATTACAGTTAGTACAATCACTGTGGAGAACAGTGTGGAGGTTAAGCAGAAAACTAAAAAGAGCTGCCATACAATCCAGCAATCCCGCTCCTAGGTATATACTCAAAAGAAAGGAAATCAGTATGTTGAGGAGATATCTGGGCTCTCACATTTATTCCAGCATGATTTATAATAGCCAAGATTTGGAAGCAACCTATATCCATCAACAGATGAATGAATAAAGAAAATGCGTTATGTATACACAATGAAGTGCTATTTAGCCATTACAAAAAAATGAGATCCTGTCATTTGCAATAGCATGGATGGAACTGGAGGTCATTACGCTAAGTGAAATAAGCCAGGCACAGAAAGACAAATATTACATGTTTTCACTTATTTGTGGGATCTAAAACTCAAAACAATTGAACTCATGGAGATACAGAGTAGAAAGATGATTACTAGAAGCTATGAAGGGTAGTGGGAGGGTGGAGGGTAAGTGAGAATGATTAACGGATACAAAAATAGTTAGAAATAATAAATAAGTCCAAGTATTTGGTAGCATAACACGGTGAATATGGTAAAAAATTAATTGTACATTTTAAAATAACTAAGAGTATAATTAGATTTTTTGTAACACGAAGGATAAATGCTTGAGTTGATGAATATTCCATTTTCTCTGGTGTAATTATTATGCATTGTATGCCTGTATCATATCTCATGTATTCCATAAATATATATACCTACTATGTATCCACAAAAATTAAACACATAAATAAAATACTTTCTTATATCCACCCTAAATTTTATAAGTGACATCTGAAACTTCTTTCTTCTTCTTCTTTCTTTGATCAATGTGTGTACTAGCTAGTTATAATTCTCTGAATAATTTTTACATGCCTAATGACATAAATTACTTCTTTGCTTCCATTTCAGAATCTTCACATGTTTTAAGCTATAAGATGCATAACTAACAACTAAACTGAAAATCATATAAACATAAATATACATTGGAGCAATATTAATATTTTTAATTTTAAAAATTGAAAATATAAACTTATATTACATTAAGAAACTCTAAGGACTAAATTTCCTCTTTCCTATCCTCAGAATATGAATTAGTTTTAAAATTAAATACTGAAAATCATATAAACATAAATATACATCGGAGCAATATTTTTTAATTTAATATTTTTAATTTTAAAAATTGAAAATATAAATTTATAATCATATTACATTAAGACCTCTAAGGACTAAATTTCCTCTTTCCTATCCTCAGAATATGAATTAGTTTTAAAATTAAATACTGATTTGAAAAAACATGCTTTGAAAGAAGAATTAGAATAAATAGAGAAAACAGTGACAATTTTCTCATTACAGGTAATAAACTTGATATTTTTTGTTTTTTAGTCTACGTACTATTTGAAGATCTGAAGATTATATTAGCCATCTTGGCAGATATTAAATGAATAACACAAATACTAGCTTCTTAGTTCAGCTTTGTTTCTTTAAGGAAAACAAGGTTCTTAGACATCTTAAACTTTTTTTTTTTTTGAGATGCAGTTTCGCTCTTGTTGCCCAGGCTGGAGTGCAATGGCGCGATCTCGGCTCACCGCAATCTCCGCCTCCCGGGTTCAAGCGATTCTTCTGCCTCTCAGCCTCCCGAGTAGCTGGGATTACAGGCATGTGCCACCACGCCCGGCTAATTTTGTATTTTTAGTAGAGACGATGTTTCCCCATGTTGATCAGGCTGGTCTCAAACTCCTGACCTCAGGTGATCTGCCCGCCTCGGCTTCCCAAAGTGCTGGGATTACAGGCGTGAGCCACTGCGCCTGGCTAGACATCTAACTTTTATAAAAAAAAATTTGTTTGTGTTTTTGTGTGTGTTTGTGTGTATGTATGTTGAGGATGAGGCTAACTCTCTTTCAGACTTCCATATATACTTTTTTCTATTTAGCTTTTAAAACATATTTGTACATTTAATTTATCTGTACAATAATTATGTACAGATAAGTATGTTAATTTATATTTTATGTAAATGATAGTGTTTTTCATTTTATTATTATTCATTTTATTTTGTATGTCATTTCAGAGGTCAGTCTTATTTGGAAAAAATACATTACTAATGTTTAGGATCACTCTGAATTCTAGTTCAGCTTTTGGGGGTTTTAGCAATCATTTGGAGCTATTCTTTGTGTACCATGACTGTTCAGTGACTATTTATTGAACACCCCAAAATTACAGTGTTATATGGTATGGAAGTTATAGAACAAAGAAGATATGAAGCTTCAAAGAATTTGCCCTCCGTTTACCCAAGTATCCTCTGAGAAAAAAACAATTTAGCTGCACAATATAGACCAGACATTTTAGTGTACATGTATATATGTTCATTATAAAAATTTAATACGGAAAAACATAATGAAGAAAACAAAAATCCCCCTAACTTCTAGCACCTAGGGTAACTACTAAAAACACTTTGGAAAATATAGTTCTAAATATCAATTGATATTAATCTCTCTCTCTCTTTCTCCGTCCCTATCTATCTACATATTTTCTTCCTCTACAGAGATACCCAAGTGCAATTTTATATTAATAGCTTCACACTACACAAACTGTCATGCATTTTGCCTTTAAGCATTAAATTATTTTTGATATATAACTTAGATATCAGTAACACAAATCTATTTTATTATTTTTAAAGCCTATAGTTTTCATAGCTATACAGATATATATATATATATTCTAAATCTCTTTTCAATGATTACCAATAGATGCTTAGGCTCTTATCTTTTTTCTATTATTTTTTTCTGTGGCCATTTTTGGCATATAGATATTTTCATATGTGATCAATGACCACTAATATAAATTCCTTGAAGAGTATTGCTTGCTCAAATCTAACCCAATTTTAAATACTATTATACTAAAATGTTTTCGGGTATATAAATTTACGCTTCACATTTCTTGACCGACACTAATTATTTCTATTTTTCTTTAGTCTTTGACAACATGCCATGCCATTTTACATTTCTATTATTCACATTCTCATTTAAAAAGCCCTTTTAATGTCAAGATATTTTTTGATAACTGGCTGATTAATATGGCCAGTTATGTTGTTTTGTCCTTTGATATATTCTCAATCATATTTGTTAAATTATACTTTTTCTGGCTGGTAAGATTTATTTACACGTCTCTTAATGTATTCTAGACCATATTTGCATTAATATTTTTGAGATTTTATGTGGCTTATTTTCTCATTTTTTGCTTTCATCATCAAGGTTTTTTTATACAGAATTAAAGTAAAATAGGATGAGAAGATGTCATTCAACTATGTGTTGTGGAATAGTTTAAATAGCATAGACATTATCTACTCCTTAGTAATTTTAAGAATAGCCTTATGTTAACATCTGGGTCTACCCTGTATTTGTGGGGTAAAGTGACATATTGTCAATGTGTTTATTCTTTTCCATTTAGTTTATTTTTTCTCTTTTTTGCTCTAAGTGGTTTAATTCATTAATTCACAGTGTTGTTTGAATGAAGAATTTAAATTTCCACTATTTCTGTATTTATACATTGTTCTCATATTTTTTTATTTGTATCTTAGGACATTAAGAGATTATATGTTGTGTATTTTAATAAAGGATTTCTCTCTTTTATAATTTTATTTTCTATTTTCTAATTCATTAATGTCTTCCTACTTCTCTCCTTAATTATGAATTGATTTTTTTTTAAATTTCTTGCATTAGTTTCATCATGCATTTATTCTGTTTTGGGGGGAATATCATTTATAAGGTTATGAATTTAATCTAATGATAGCTTTAGCCTATTCCCATAAATCTTGTTAAATACTGTTTTAATTTTATCATTATCTACATCTAGAATCTTTACTAAGGAACATTTCAAGTACCAAAACTGATTGGCAAAAGCTATGTGAGGTACTATGTTAAAAATAGTAGGGGGTAAGGCCGGGCGCAATGGCTCATGCTTGTAATACCAGCACTTTGGGAGGCTGAGGCGGGGGGGATCACCTGAGGTCAGCAGTTTGAGACCAGCCTGGCCAACATGAAGAAACCCCGTCTCTGCTAAAAATACAAAAATTAGCCTGGTGTGATGGCGGAAGCCTGTAATCACAGCTACTTGGGAGGCTAAGGCAGGAGAATCGCTTGAACTCGGGATCTGGAGTTTGCAGTGAGCTGAGATGGCACCACCACACTCCAGCCTGGGTGTCAGAGCGAGACTCCATCTCAAAAAAAAAAAAAAAAAAGTAGGGGTTTAGTGAAACATAGCACTATGTCTTTCGTGAAAGTGGAAGTGATGTATTACCGGTATCAGGTTTGTAAGAGATGTGCTATCTCCATGCTGATATTCTTCATTCACAGTTTTGATGTCATTCTTAATCTAATTATTAAAATAAAGTTGATTTTTGTGATAGAGTATTTTCAGACTCAGTTCACGACCTCTGCCTCACACCCTCTTTCCTGCCGCAGTGATTGTGGACATTTTTTCTCAAGTTTTAAACACTTTTTTTCTTTTCTTTCTTACCTTTCCTTTTCTTTTTCCCTCCCTCCCTCCCTCCCTGTCTTCCTTCATTCCTTCCCTCCTTTTCTCCCTCACTCTCTCCTAATATCCCTCTCTACTTCCTTCCTTTCTTTCCTTCATAAAGTGGTATGACATGGGCCTTGATCAATCAGGAACAATATTGGTTCAAACAGAAATGACATTGGCTGCAAATATTTGGTACTGGTTGACCAATGCACGCAAGCTTAAATATATGGTTATCTTTGCTTCCCACATCATTTCTTCATTCATTTACACTTCATTTGTCCAGGACGTGTGTAAAAGTTTCTTTAAACTGTTTTTTTATTTATTGCCTTACACATCTGTATATTTAAGTTTCTTTTGGATTCTGGAAAATTTGCAACCAGTATTGCTTTTAATATTTCTTCTCCATTTTTTTTCTATTATCTTCTACTGTTACTCTCTTTAGATTTACAGTCATGGGCCACATAACAGTATTTCAGCCAATGATGGACCTCATATGCAAAGGTGGTCCCATAAAATCATAATACCATATTTTTACTGTAACTTTCATATGTTTAGATATGTTTAGAAACACAAATACTTCTTACCAATGTTTTACAATTGCCTATAGTATTCAGTAGAGTAACACACTGTTCAGGTCTGTAGTCTAGGACAATAGGCCATACCATGTAGGCTAGTTATACACTAGACTATATAACATCTAGGTTTATGTTAAGTACACTTTATAATGTTTGCACAATGATGAAATCTCCTAATGATGCATTTCTCAGAGTGTATCCCTATCATTAAATGACACGTAATTGTACATTGACACTTTCTCATTACTGTCATTACTTTTAACCTGGCTTTCTTACATTCCATCCCCATATATTTTTGTGCTGCAGTCTGGATATATATAATCTTCTTTTTTTTTTGAGTCGGAGTTTCACTCTTGCTGCCCAGGCCGGAGTGCAATGGCGTGATATCCACTCACTGCAACCTCCGCCTTCCGGGTTCAAGCCATTCTCCTGCCTCAGCCTCCCGAGTAGCTGGGATTCAGGCATGTGCCACCATGCCCGGTTAATTTTGTATTTTTAGTAGAGACGGGGTTTCTCCATGTTGGTCAGGCTGGTCTCAAACTTCCAACCTCAGGTGATTTGCCCGCCTTGGTCTCCCTAAGTGCTGGGATTACAGGTGTGAGCCACTGTGCCTGGCCAAGATATATATCTAAAGATACCTATCTATCTAGATACTTAATCTACTAATCTATCTAGATATTTAATCTATCTAGATAATTAAATGTCTATCTAGATATTTAATTATTAGTAGATAATTAATATCTACTAATATTTAAACCATCAATTGATATTTTATTTTTTTCCACAGAGATCTTATCCCGATCAGAATACTTTTCATTTCTAGAAATTCTATTGTTTTCCCAATTTTTCTGCCCTTGTTGGTCTCTTTTTCCTTGTTTATTTTTTTATTTCATCATTCATTCATTTATTTTATTAGCTTTTTCAAACATAGCTAGGTTATGTTCTGTATGTGATATTACTTAAATCTGAAGTTTTTGGTCATCTAAATATGTTTTTCTTTCTTTGTGTGGCTATTTCAGATAACTAGTTCTTTGATTTATTTGTTTTTTTTGTATTTTTAGTAGAGACGGGGTTTTGCCATGTTGGCCAGGGTGGTCTTGAACTCCTGACCTCAGGTGATCCACCCTCTGGGATTACAGGCATGAGCCATTGTGCCTGGCCCTGTATTTTCTTATATAGTTCATACATTCCTATTCTAGTTTCAGATGGTGCTTTCATGTCCCTCCTTGTAGAGATTTTTCTAATATATAAGGAGCTCAGAAATAAATTAAAGTACATACCAGTGATCATTCACCCAGGATGTACTTCATTTTTAGTTGCAGAGACTTTTAGAATATCTTATATTCCATGCTGCTTGAAAAATATTTGCTCTTTGAAATAAATAGAACATTTAAAAAAGGCCAGATGTGCAAATATAGACCAAACCTCTTCCTTTCAAACATTAAAAATTCCCAAAGTATTTCATGAATATTCTTATAACCATATGGCAAAATGCTGAATACTCAAATATGCACATGTAGAAAGATGTGACAACAATGTGTTGGCTAAAGTGAAACTGATAGTTTATGATGGAGTCTAAAGCTCAAACTTTCTTTAATGTCTTTATTATTAAATATTTTCATTTCCAAAAATTCTCTTAAAATATCCAGTTGTCTATCCCATTATATAAGACATAAATAAAATTGTTGAATGATATTAATCCTTAGTGTGATTCTGGTGGAAATGGATTCCATAGAGTCTTTTTAGTTAATGAATTAAGAACAACCATCATACTCAAATATGTTTTCCAAATTTTTAGACTTCTTTTCTTCCTTGGGAACACCAAATATTCTTGGGTTTGGTCATTTAACATAATCCCAAATGGTTTTTCTTATCTCTGTCTCCTTCGGTTCTTCTCTGATCTCAGTTATTTCTTGTCTTCTTCTAGCTTTTCAATTTGTTTGCTCTTGCTTCTCCATTTCTTTCAATTGTGATGTTAGAGTGTCAATTTTAGATCTTTCTCACTTTTTCCTGTGGGTATTTAGTGCTATAAATTTTCCTGTAAACACTGCTTTAGCTGTGTCCCAGAGATTCTGGTACATTGTGTCTTTGTTCTCATTGGTTTCAAATAACTTATTTATTTCTGCCTTAATTTTGTTATGTACCCAGTAGTCATTCAGGAGCAGGTTGTTTAGTTTCCATGTTGTTGTGCAGTTTTGAGTGAATTTCTTAATCATGAATTCTGATTAGATTGCACTGTGGTCTGAGAGACTGTTATGATTTCCATTCTTTTGCATTTGCTGAGGAGTGTTTTGCTTCCAATTATGAGGTCAATTTTACAATAAGTGTGATGTGGTGATGAGAAGAATGTTTATTCTGTTGATTTGCGGTGGAGAGTTCTCTAGATGTCTATTAGGTCCACTTGGTCCAGAGCTGAGTTCAAGTCCTGAATATCTTTGTTGATTTTCTGTCTTGTTGATCTGTCTAATATTGACAATGGGGTGTTAGAGTCTCCCACTATTATTGTGAGGGAGTCTAAGTCTCTTTGTAGGTCTCTAAGAACTTGCTTTACAAATCTGGGGGCTCCTGTATTGGGTGCGTACATATTTAGGATATTTAGCTCTTCTTGTTGCATTGATCCCTTTACCATTACGTAATGCCCTTCTTTGTCTCTTTTGATCTTTGTTGGTTTAAAGTCTGTTTTATCAGAGACTAGATTTGTAATCCCTGCTTTTTTTTTTTTGCTTTCCATTTGCTTGGTAAATATTCCTCCATCCCTTTATTTTGAGCCTATGTGTGTCTTTGCATGTGAGATGGGTCTCCTGAATACAGCACACCAATGGGTCTTGACTCTTTATCCAGTTTGCAAGTCTGTATCTTAATTGGGGCATGTAGCCTGTTTACATTTAAGGTTAATATTGTTATGTGTGAATTTGATCCTGTCATTATGATGCTAGCTGGTTATTTTGCCCATTAGTTGATGCAGTTTCTTCATAGTGTCGATGATCTTTACAATTTGATATGTTTTTGCAGTGGCTGGTACCAGTTTTTTCTTTCCATATTTAGTGCTTCCTTCAGCAGCTCTTGTAAGGCAGGCCTGGTAGTGACAAAAATCTCTCAGCATTTGCTTGTCTGTAAAGGATTTTATTTCTCCTTCACTTATGAAGCTTAGTTTGGCTGGATATGAGATTCTGGGTTGAAAATTCTTTTCTTTAAGAATGTCAAGTAATGGCCCCCACTCTCCTGGCTTGTACGGTTTCTGACAGGAGATCCACTGTTAGTCTGATGGGCTTCCCTTTGAGGGTAACCCGACCTTTCTCTCTGGCTGCCCTTAACATTTTTTCCTTCATTTCAACCTTGCTGAATCTGACAATTATATGTCTTGGGGTTGCTTTTCTCGAGGAGTATCTTTGTTGTGTTCTCTGTATTTCCTGAATTTGAATGTTAGCCTGTCTTGGTAGGTCGGGGAAGTTCTCCTGGATAATATTCTATAAAGTGTTTTCCAACTTGCTTCCATTCTCCCTGTCACTTTTAGGTACACCAGTCAAACACAGGTTTGTTCTTTTCACATAGTCCCATATTTCTTGGAGGCTTTGTTCATTCCCTTTCATTCTTTTTTCTCTATTCTTGTCTTCACGCTTTATTTCATTAAGTTGGTCTTCAATCTCAGATATTCTTTCTTCCACTTGATCGATTTGGCTATCGATACTTTGTGTATGCTTCATGAAGTTCTCGTGCTGTGTTTTTCAGCTCCATCAGTCATTTATGTTCTTCTCTAAACTAATTATTCTAGTTAGCAATTCCTCTAACGTTTTATCAAGTTTCCTTGAATTGGGTTAGAACATGCTCCTTTAGCTTAGAGGAGTTTGTTATTACCCACCTTCTGAGGCCTACTTCTGTCAATTCATCAACTGATTCTCTGCCTGGTTTTGTTCCCTTGTTGGCAAGGAGTTCTGATCCTTTGAAGGAGAAGAGGCATTCTGGTTTTTTGAATTTTCAGCCTTTTTGCGCTGCCTTTTCCTTATCTTTGTGTATTTATCTACCTTTGGTCTTTGATGTTGGTGACATTTGGATGGGATTTTTGTGTGGATGTCCTTTTTGTTTATGTTGAGGCTATTCCTTACATTTCTTTCTGTTTGTTAATTTTCCCTCTACCAGTCAGGCCCCTCTGCTGCAGGTCTGTTGTAGTTTGCTGGAGGTCCACTCCAGACCCTGTTTGCCTGGGTATCACTAGTGGAGGCTGCAGAACAGCAAAGATTGCTGCCTGTTCCTTCCTCTGGAAGCTTCATTCCAGAGGGGCACCCACCAGATGCCAGCTGGAGCTCCCCTGTATGAGGGATCTGTCGATTCCAGCTGGGAGGTGTCTGCTAGTCAGGAGGCACAGTTGTCAGGGACCCACTTGAGGAGGCAGTCTGCCCCTTAACAGAGCTTGAGTGCTGTTCTGGGAGATCCACTGCTCTCTTCAGAGCCAGCAGGCAGGGACGTTTAAGTCTGCTGAAGCTGCGCCCACAGCCGCCCCTTACCCCAGGTGCTCTGTCCCAGGGAGATGGGAGTTTTATCTATAAGCCACTGACTGGGGCTGCTGCCTTTCTTTCAGAGATGCCCTGTCCAGAGAGGAGGAATCTAGAGAGACAGTCTGGCTACAGCAGCTTTGCTGAGCTGTGGTTGCCTCCTCTCAGTTCAAACTTCCAGGCAGCTTTGATTACACTGTAAGTGTAAACTACCTTCAGACTGCTCTGGTGGCAGTGAGAATTTCAAGCCAGTGGATCTTACCTTTCTGGGCTCCATGGGGGTGGGATGTGCTGAGCCAGACTACTTGGCTTCCTGGCTTCAGTCTCCTTTTCAGGGGAGTGAACGGTTCTGTCTCATTGGCATTCCTGGTGCCTCTGGGGTATGAAAATAAACTCCTGTAGCTAGCTGTCTGCCCAAATGGCTGCCCAGTTTTGTGCTTGAAACCAAGGGCTCTGGTGGTGCAGGCACTTAGGGGAATCTCCTGGTCTGCGGGTTGTGAAGACTGTGGGAAAAGCATAGTGTCTGGGCCGGAATGCACCATTCCTCATGGCACAACCCCTCACAGCTTCCCTTGGTTAAGGGAGGGAGTTCCCCAACCCCTTGCACTTCCCAGATAAGGCAATGCCCCACCCTGCTTCTGCTCACCCTCCGTGGGCTGCACTCACTGTCTAATCAGTTCAAATGAGACGAGCTGTGTACCTCATTTGGAAATTCAGAAATCACCCTCTTCTGCATTGATCTTGCCGGAAGCTGCAGACCGGAGGTGTTCCTATTCAGCCATTTTGCCAGCCCAGAAAGATGTTTCTTATTAGGATTCATTGAAACTACCTGAAGAAAGCCTCCAGATTTAATTTTAATAAGAGTTTTTGTGAAAATAATTTGGTAAGAAGCAGAAAATAGAGGGAACATGTTTGCAAACAAAATTTAGAAGTTTAATTTTTATTTTAATTTACTTTTTAAATTGGCAAGTAATAATTGTACATATTCATGGAGTACATAGTGGTATTTTGATACATATAATGTATAGTGATCAGATCAGTGTAGTTAACATATCCATCAATTTAAATATATGTTATTTCTTTGTGTTGGAAATTTTCAATATTCTGCTTCTAGTTATTTGAAAATAATATGTTATTGTTAACATCCTACATTGGTATAGAACACTACAGATTATTGCTCCTATCTCATTATAATTTTGCTTCCTTTAACAAAACTCTTTCTATCTCTTTCTTTCCCACACCCTTCAAAGCCTCTAGTATTCTCTGTTCTACTTTTTACTTCTGTGAAATCTTGTTTTTTTTAGCTTCCACATATGAGTGAGAACATGTGGTGTTTAACTCTCTGTTTCTGCCTTATGTCACCCAACATAACGTCCTCTAGTTCCACTCATTTTGCCACAAATGACAGGGTTTCAGTCTCTCTTATGGCTGAATAGCTCTCCATTGTGTATATATACCACAGGTCCTTTATTTATTCATCTTTTGCTGTACACCTATGTTGACTCCATATTTTAGTCATTGTGAACAAAAATGAGGGTGCAGACATCTTTTTGATATAATGATGTCCTTTACTTTGGATGCATTTTCAGTAGTGGGATTGCTGAATCATGAGCTGGTTTTGCAGTGGCATGATCTGGGCTCAGTGCAACCTCCACCTCCTGGGTTAGATCAATTCTCTTGCCTCAGCCTCCCAAGTTGTTGGGATTACAGGTGCCCACCACCATGCCAAGCTAATTTTTGTATTTTTAGTAGAGATGGGGTTTCTCCATGTTGCCCAGGCTGGTCTCAAACTCCTGACCTCAAGTGATTCACCTGCTTCAGCCTCCCAAAGTGCAGAAATTACAAGTGTGAGCCACTGCGCTTGACCTATTTGTAGTTTTCTGAGCAACCTACAAAATGCTCTCCTTAGCACTACGCCACTCCACATTCCCACCAATAGTGTATAACAGTTTCATTTTCTCTGCATCCTCAACGAAACTCGTTATTTTTTGTCTTTTTAATAATAGCCAACCTAACAGGAGTGAGATCATACCTCATTGTGCTCCTGACTTGCAACTTCCTGATGATTAGTGATGCTGAGAATCTTTTCATATATTTTCTAGCCTTTCATACATCTTCCCCTGGGAAACATCTGTTCAGATTATTTGTCCATTTTTTAATCAGACTGTTTTTTTTTTTTTTTTTTTTTTTTGCTGTTGAGACATTTGAGTTCCTTGTATATTATCTTTTGCAGAATTACATTTAGGTCGTTGATCTATGTTTGAGTTTATTTGTGTATAGAGTGAGGAGGGAGTGTAGTTTCATTGTTCTGCATATAGATATCTAGTTTCCCTGGCACCATTTATTGAAGAGACTGTGCTTTCCCCAATGAGTGTTCTTGGCAACTTTGTCAAAAATCAATTGGCTATCAATATTTGGATCAATTTTTGGATCCTCTATTCTGTTTCATTGGTTATATGTCTGTTTTTATGACAGTCCCATGCTATTCTGGTTATTGTAGCTTTGTAGTATATTTTGATGTCTGTTAGTGTGATACCTCCAGCTTTGTTCAATTTGCTGAGGATTGTATTGGCTATGTGAGGTCTTTTGTGGTTCTATACAAATTTTAATAACTTTCTTTCTATTTCTGTGAAGAATGTTACTTGTATCTTGATAAAGATTGCATTTAATCTGTAGATTGCATTGGGTAGTATCTTCATTTTAAATACTAGTTCTGCCAATCTATAAGCACAGGATGTCTTTTTGTGTCCTCTTCAATTTCTTGCATTATTAACTTATAATTTTTCTTATAATTTTTCAAACTTACTTGGTTAAATTTATTCCTGGAATTTTTTTTTTTTTTTAAATAACTATCATGAATGAGACTGTTTTCTTGATATCTTTTTTGGCTTGTTCATTGTTCAAGGACTTTTCTTGATTGAACAAACTTATTTAAGCACTTAGATTTCTTCCTTATTTAATTTTGAATAAAAACATATGCTCTTGAAAGCATAGAGAACTTATCATACTAAAAAGGCAGTTTTAAAATTTCTAAAAATGTAATGCACAATTGATGTGTATGAAATGTGGTAAAATGTCACCAACATGCAACTAAACTTTTTAAAATTATCAACGTTTTTGTCTTTAAAAAACATAAGAAGTTATTTATCTTAGCTAAAATGTACATACTCAGGGTTAGAAAGTGCACCTTTTTATAATCCTATGTGTACCTTTTCTTTTTTTTTTTTAGAGTTTTTGTTTTTACTGTTTTAAGATGAAAACTTCTTATTGTAAGGTCAATATTAATGTTAATTGTTGCATAAAAACCATTTTGTTCCATTTATCAATAAACTACAATACTACTTAGGTGTTAGTTGCAATGATACTTCATGAAGAAATAAATACTGCTTTCCCTACAGCTCTGAAGCTCATATATTTCTATCAGTTTATAAATACTGATGTTAGTACTCTCTCTCCCCCATTTCTAAGAGATTTCTCCATGCACCCAAAACTTATTTTTGTGTGTGAAAATTAGGTGGCTACACAGATTGGAAAAAAAATTAACCGAAACATAAAGAAAAGTTTTCAAACAATGTTTTTCATGCTCATAAAAAGTGTGGCCAAGTATCAGAATTAGTTTTTCCACTTGGCATAAATATTTGATATTCTTAATATTATGTGTGCTCACTTGTTGTTGGACTTTCATATTCTTTGACATTAAAAAATGGAGATCAGCTCTTTTCTGCAATTTAGTTATGCTATTCTGAAACAGAAAATGATTTTGATAAGACAATAATTTGGGAACTCTTTTAGCAATTAGTGGCAGTAAATAAAACTAATAATCATTGTTGTTCAGGAACTGAATTTGTTTACAATAATATTTTTTCAAACTCAGCCCAAAGAAGCCATTTCGCTTTTGCCTAGTGACTTATTAATAAGATACATATTATTATACATACCAATGTTCAGGTTGTCTTAAAATGCTTTCAAATAGAATGCGAATTTTTGCAACAACAAAAAATTACACAAACAAGCTTCTATGATTGTGTAAATAAAGTGTCTCTACAAGTGGGGCACAAATAAGCCTATTTAGCCACCATTCTGGAGGAGTTGCTTATTCCTTTATCTAATTTGGTTACCAAAATTTTAATTATGGCTCATCAAATGTGCTCGGTAAATCAAGTTCTGCTTATCATAAGGGTTACATTTAATCAGAACTATGGTCCGTCATAAAAGAGCCTGTATTTACCAAATTAATGCATAATATTCACAAGAAACCACCAATAATAAACAAATTAAAAAATACTGTTGAGGGATGGCTGGCAGGATGGCCGAATAGGATCAGCTCCTGCCTGCAGCTCCCAGCAAGATCAATGCAGAAGGCAAGTTATTACCTGGTTCATCTCACTGGGACTGGCTAGACAGTGGGTGCAACCCACGAAGAGTGAGCAAAAGCAGGCTGGGGTATTGCCTCAGGCTGGGAAGTGCAAGGGGTCAAGGAACTCCCTCCCTTAGCCAAGGGAAACCATGAGGGACTGTGCCTTGAAGAAAGGTGCATTCCAGCCCAGACACTACACTTTTCCCATGGTCTTCACAACCTGCAGACGAGGAGATTCCCTCGGGTGCCTACACCACCAGGACCCTGGGTTTCAAGCACAAAACAGGGTGGCTGTTTGGGCAGACACCAAGCTAGCTGCAGGAGATTTTTTTAATACCCCAGTGTCACCTGGAATGCCAGCAAGACAGTATGGTTCACTCCCCTGGAAAGGGGGCTGAAGCTAGAAAGCCAAGTGGTCTAGCTGAGCAAATCCCACCAATACAGAGCTCAGCAACCTAAGATCCACTAACTTGAAATTCTCGCTGCCAGCACAGCAGTCTGAAGTTGACCGGGGATGCTAGAGCTTGGTGGGTGGAGGGGCATCCGCCATTACTGAGGACTTGAGTAGGTGATTTTCCCCTCACAATGTAACCAAAGCCACCAAGCAGGTCAAACTGAGTGGAGCCCGCTGCAGCTCAGCAAAGCTGCTGTAGCCAGACTGCCTCTCTAGATTCCACCTCTCTGGGCAGGGCACTTCTGAAAGAAAGGCAGCAGCCCCACTCAGGGGCTTATAGATAAAACTAGAGCTTGGTGGAGGGAAGGGCAGCCACCATTACTAAGGCTTGAATAGGCGGTTTTCCCCTCACAGTGTAAACAAAGCCTCCAAGCAGTTCAAACGGGGCAGACCCAATTGCAGCTCCACAAAGCTGCTGTAGTCACACTGCCTCTCTAGATTCCTCCTCTCTGGGCAGGGTATCTCTGAAAGAAAGGCAGCAGCCCCAGTCAGGGCCTTATAGATGAAACTCACATCTCCCTGAGACAGAGAATCTGGAGGAAGCAGTGGCTGTGGGTGCAGCTTCAGCAGACTTAAACTTTCCTGCCTGCTGGCTCCGAGGAGAGCAGCAGATCTCCCAGCAGAGTAAGTGAGCTCTGTTAAGGGACAGACTGCCTCCTACAGTGGGTCCCTGACCGCCATGCCTCCTGACTGGGAGACACCACACAGCAGGGGTCAACAGACACCTCATACAAGAGAGTGCTGGCTGGCATCTGGCAGGTGGCCCTCTGGGATGAAGCTTCCAGAGGAAGGAAGAGGCAGCAATCTTTGCTGTTCTGCAGCTGCCGCTGGTGATACCCAGGCAAACAGGGTCTGGAGTGGAACTCCAGCAAACTCCAGCAGACCTGCAGCAGAGAGGCCTAACTATTAGAAGGAAAACTAACAAACAGAAAAGAATAGCATCAACATCAACAAAAAGGACATCCACACAAAAACCCCATTTGAAAGTTACCAACATCAAAAACCAAAGGTAGATAAATCCACAAAGATGAGGAAAAACCAGCACAAAAAGGCTGAAAATTCAGAAAAACAGAATGTCTCTTCTTCTTCAAAGAATCACAATTGCTTGCCAGCAAGGGAACAAAACTGGACAAAGAATGAGTCTGATGAATTGACAAAAGTAGGCTTCAGGAGGTGGGTAATAACAAACTCCTGCAAGCTAAAGGAGCGTGTTCTAACCCAATGCAAGGAAGCTAAGAACCTGGAAAAAAAATGAGGGGAACTGCTAACTAGAATAACCAGTTTGATGAAGCTGAAAAACACAGTACGAGAACTTCGTGAAGCATACACAAGTATCAATAGCCAAGTGGAAGAAAGGATATCAGAAATTAAAGATCAACTTAATGAAATATAGCCTGAAGACAAGATTAGAGAAAAAAAAATGAAAAGGAATGAAAATAGCTTCCGAGAAATATGGTACTATGTGCAAAGACCAAACCTATGTTTGATTGGTGTACCTGAAAGTGACAGGGAGAATGGAAGCAAGTTGGAAAACACTCTTCAGGATATTATCCAGGAGAACTTCCCCAACCTACCAAGACAGGCCAACATTCAAATTCAGGAAATACAGAGAACACCACAAAGGTAATCCTCGAGAAGAGCAACAGAAAGACATATAATCATCAGATTTACCAAGGTTGAAATGAAGGAAAAAATGTTATGGGAAGCCAGAAGGAAGGTCAGGCTACCCACAAAGGGAAGATCATCAGACTAACAGCAGGTCTCTCTGCAGAAACCCTACAAGCCAGAAGAGAGTGGGGGCCAATATTCAACATTCTTAAAGAAAGAATTTTCAACCCAGAATCTCATATCCAGCCAAACTAAGCTTCATAAATGAAGGAGAAATAAAATCCTTTTCAGACAAGTGAATGCTGAGAGATTTTGTCACCACCAGGCCTGCCTTACAAGAGCTCCTGAAGGAAGCACTAAATATAGACAGAAAAAAACTGTTACTAGCCACTGCAAAAACACACCAAATTGTAAAGACCATTGACAGTATGGAGAAACAATCTCAACTAATGGGCAAAATAACGAGCTAGCATCATAATGACAGGATCAAATGCACACATAACGATATTAACTTTAAATGTAAACAGGCTAACTGCCCCAATTAAAAGACACAGACTGGCAAATTGGATAGAGTCAAGACCCATTGGTGTGTTGTATTCGGGAGACCCATCTCACATGCAAAGGCACACATAGGCTCAAAATAAAGGGATAGAAGAATACTTACCATACAAATGGAAAGGAAAAAAAAAAAAAGGAGGGATTGCAATTCTAGTCTCTGATAAAACAGGCTTCCAACCAACAGAGATCAAAAACGACAAAGAAGGGCATTACATAATGGTAAAGGGATCAATGCAACAAGAAGAGCTAAATATCGTAAATATATATGCACTCAATACAGGAGCCCCCAGATTCATAAAGCAAGTTCTTAGAGACCTACAAAGAGACTTAGACTTCCTAACAATAATAGTGGGAGACTGTAACACTCCACTGTCAATATTAGACAGATCAAGGAGCCGGAAAATTAACAAGGATATTCAGGACTTGAACTCAGCTCTGGACCAAGTGGACCTAATAGACATCTACAGAACTCTTTACCCCAAATCAACAGAATATACATTCTTCTCAGCACCCGACCGCACTTATTATAAAATTGACCACATAATTGGAAGTAAAACACTCCTTAGCAAATGCAAAAGAATGGAAATCATAACAGTCTCTCAGACCACAGTTTAATCAAATTAGAACTCAGGATTAAGAAACTCACTCAAAACTGCACAACTACATGGAAACTGAACAATCTGCTCCTGAATTACTACTGGGTACATTAGGAAATTAAGGCAGAAATAAATAATTTCTTTGAAAACAATGAGAACAAAGACACAACATATCAGAATATCTGTGACACTGGTAATGCAGTGTTTACAAGGAAATTTATAGCACTAATTGCCCACAGGAGAAAGCGGGAAAGATCTAAAATCAACACCATAACATCACAATGAACAGAAGTGGAGAAGCAAGAGCAAACAAATTCAAAAGCTAGCAGAAGACAAGAAATAACTAAGATGAGAGCAGAACTGAAGGAGATAGAGACATGAAAAATTCTTCAAAAAATTAATGAATCCAGGTTTTTGAAAAGATTAACAAAATAGATAGACCATTAGAAAGACTAATAAAGAAGAAAAGAGAGAAGAATCAAATTAATACATTAAAAAATGATAAACGGGATATCACCACTGATCCCACAGAAATACCAACTACCATCAGAGAACACTATAAACACCTCTCTGCAAATAAACTAGAAAATCTAGAAGAAATGGATGAATTCCTGGACACATACACCCTCCCAAGACTAAACCAGTAAGAAGTCAAATCACTGAATAGACCAATAACAAGTTCTGAAAGTGAGACAGTAATTAATAGCCTACCAACGAAGAAAAGCCCAGGACCAGGCAGATTCACAGACGAATTCTACCAGACATATAAAGAGGAGCTGGAACATTACTTCTGAAACTATTCCAAAAAGTAGGAAAAAGGGATTCCTCCCTAACTCATTTTATGAGGCCAGCATCATCCTGATACCAAAACCTGGTAAAGACACAACAACAACAACAAAAATTTCAGGCCAATATCCCTGATGTATTTTGATGCGAAGATCCTCAATAAAATACTGGCAAACCAAATCCAGCAGCACATCAAAAAGCTTATCCATCCACAATCAAGCCTACTTCATCCCTGGGTTGCAAGGCTGGTTCAACATACACAAATCAATAAACGTAATCCATCATATAAACAGAACCAATGACAAAAACCACATGATTATCTCAATAGATGCAGAAAATGCCTTTGACAAAATTCAACATTCCTTAATGCTAAAAACTCTCAATAAACTAGGTATTGATGGAAAGTATCTCAAAATAATAAGAGCTATTTATGACAAACCCACAGCCAATATTATACTGAATGGGCAAAAACTGGAAGCATTTCCTTTGAAAACCGGCAAAAGGCAAGGATGCCCTCTCTCACCACTACTATTCAACATAGTATTGGAAGTTCTGGCCAGGGCAATCAGGCAAGAGAAAGAAATAAAGGCATTCAAATAGGAAGAGAGGAAGTCAAATTGTCTCTGTTTGCAGATGACATGATAGTATATTTAGAAAAACCCCATCATCTCAACCCAAAATCTCTTTAAGCTGATAAACAACTTCAGCAAAGTCTCAGGATACAAAATCAATGTGCAAATATCACAAACATTCCTATACACCAATAGTAGGCAACCAGAGAGCCAAATCATGAGTGAACTACTATTCACAATTGCTACAAAGAGAATAAAATATCTAGGAATACAACTTCCAAAGGATGTGAAGGAACTCTTCAAGGAGAACTACAAACTGCTGCTCAGGGAAATAAGAGAGGACACAAACAAATAGAAAAACATTCCATGCTCATGGATGGGAAGAATCAATATCGTGAAAATGGCCATACTGCCCAAAGTAATTTATAAATTCTTTGCTATCCCCATCACGTTACCATTGGCTTTCTTCATAGAATTAGATAAAAACTACTTTAAATTTCATATGGAACCAAAAAAAGAGCCCATATAGCCAAGACAATCCTAAGCCAAAAGAACAAAACTGGAGGCATCACACTACCTGACTTCAAACTATACTATAAGGCTACCATAACCAAAACAGCATGGTACTGCTACCAAAACAGATATGTAGAGCAATGGAACAGAACAGAGGCCTCAGCAATAATGCCACACATCTACAACCATCTGACAAACCTGACAAAAACAAGCAATAGAGAAAGGATTCCCTATGTAATAAATGGTGTTAGGAAAACTGGCTAGCCATATACAGAAAACTAATACTGGACCCCTTCCTTACACCTTATACAAAAATAATTTACTCAAGATGTATTAAAGACTTAAATGTAAGACCTAAAACCATAAAAACCTTAGAAGAAAACCTAGGCAATACCATTCAGGACATAGGCATGCACAAAGATTTCATGACTAAAACACCAAAAGCAATGATAACAAATGCCAAAATTGACAAACGGGATCTAATTAAACTAAAGAGCTTCTGTGCAGCAAAAGAAACTGTCATCAGAGTGAACAGGCAACCTACAGAATGAGAGAAAATTTTTGCAATCTCTCCATCTGACAAAGGACTAATACCCAGAATCTACAAGGAAGTTAAACCAATTTACGAGAAAAAAACAAACAACCCCATCAAAAGGTGGGCAAAGTATACGAACAGACATTTCTCAAAAGAAGACGTTTATGCAGCCAAGAAACATATGAAAAAAAGCTCATCATCACTGGTCATTAGAGAAATGCAAATCAAAACCACAATGAGATACCATGGAACTGCTAATCTTTATCAATGTTTCTAGCGTATAATCCAAAACTATCATTATTAATTTTGTTTCTCAAATTTTTTCAGATTTGGTCATTGGAGCTGCTCTTTCATGTTGGCTCCTGTGTCTTTTTAGCATGAGTCCTTTCTCCCTTCCTCCCTCCCTCCCTCCCTCCCTTCCTTCCTTCTTCCTTCCCTCTTTCTTTCCTTTCTAAGCCGCCTTTGTGTACTGAGCCAGAAAGAATATGTATAAGTGCATGTATGCTAACCCATACATAAATACATACATCTATAGTTATTTCTGTATTTATATATTCATGTCTATGTTAACTTAAACACTGATATTTCTCAGCTAGTTATACCCCACAGGGTTTATTCTTGCCTTCCTGGTTTATTGTATCTAGTCAAAACACTGGTTGCCAAAGTTACTTAGGTTTGTTATTTTTCTCTTCAACCCCTTCAGTGAAGTTATGTTATACATTTATAATACAGTTGGGTTCATTTTTCTTGTCTGCAATCCATCCTGGGATTTCCTGACATCCTGCTTTTGTTTTTTTTTTCTTTTTTTTTTTTTTTTGCAATTTCCATAAAGTTCATCTTTTGTATTGTACAGTTCTATGGGTTTTGAAAAATGCTTAGTCCTGTATCCACCACCGTAGTGCCATGCAAAACAGCTGCATCTTCCTAACATTTTCCTGCGTGGCCTCTTTGTAGTCAAGCAATCTTCCTTCTCACAATCCTTGGTAACTGCAGATCTGTTTATCATTCCTGTAGTTTTGCCTTTACCCAAATGGCTTTCAAATGGGATAATACAACACTTAGCAAAATGTATATCAGATTTAGCCATACTGTTGTGTGAATCAACCGTTCCTTTTTCGTGCTGAGTATTATTACATTCTATGGATATACTACAGGTTGATTATCCATTCACCTGTTGAAGCATGTCTTGGTTCTTCCTTTTGTGATTATAAAAAAACGTGCTATAAATATGTGTTTGCATGCCTTTAGTAAATAGAAGTTTCCAATTCTTTTTGTTAAATATCTAAGAGTGGAATTACTGGATGATATGATAAATGTATATTTACATATGTAAAAAGTTGCTAAACCATTTTCAGAAGTGGCTGAACAATTTTGCATATCATCTAGCAACTAAAGTTGCTGTTAACATGCATAATTTCCAGAATTTTATCTTGTCAGGTGTGTGTATGTTTGTCTTGTTGCCATTCTAATCCTTGTGTAGTACCTTGTGGTTTTAATTTGCATTTCCCTAATAACTAATGATGTTGAGCATTTTTTCATATGCTTTCACATACCTAATTTGGTGAAGTGTCTTTTTAGACTTTTAAAAAATTTATTAAACTTATTAAAATTTATTAATTTTGTCGCTTTTTTCCTTATTGTTGACTTTTTAGAGTTATTTATATACTGTGCATGTAAGATTTTATTGGATATGTTATTTGATTTGCAAATACTTTCTCTTAGTGTGTGTGTTACCTTTTCATTCTCCTTACAGTGTCTTTTACAGAGCAAAGTATTCTAATCTTGACAAAGCCTAATTTAACATTTTTAAAGTAGATCATGCTTTGCATTTTATCTTTAAATCTTATTGTTAAACTAAAGATTTTGTATATTGCCTCATGTTTGCTTTTAAATGTTTTATAGTTTTGTTATACATTTTGGTAAATTACTTATTTCAGTTAATTTTTGGATAATGTATCAGGTATATGCTGTGGTTTATTATTTTGCATAGGGATTTACAACTGATACAGCAATATTTATTGAAAAAAATTCTTTATTAAATTATTGAATTTTTGTAAAAAGAAGCAATAAATGATATTCATATAAGCCTATTTCTCAACTGTCTATTCTATTCTGTTGATGTGTATGTTTATCTTTTTTTCCAATACCACACTGTCTTAATTATTATAATTTTATAATAAGTCCTGAAATTGGATAGTGGGAGCCCTTTAGCTTTTTTCTTCTTTTTCTGAGTTGATTTAGCTATTGTAGTTCCTTTGTTTTGCCATATATATTTTAGAATCAGCTTCTGATATCTGAATAAATCTTGCTGGGATTATGATAGAAATATCGTTAAGTGCATATAGCAAATGAGAAAAAAGAACATCTTAACAATATTGCATCTTCTAATTCATGAACATGAAAAATATCTTTTTCATCTCTATTGATTTAGATATTTGACTTCTTTCACTAGTGTTTTGTAAGTTTCAGTGCAGACATTCTTCACATGTTGTGTTAAATTTATACCCAAGTACTTAATTATATTTAGTACTATTGTAACTGATGTCATTTAAAAACTTCAAATTCCAAGTATTAATTGCTGTAATATAATAATATGATTGATTTCTGTATATTTTCCTTGTATTACGAGACCTTGCTAAGTTCACTTATGAGATCTAAGAACTTTTTGTACATTTTGTATGTTGATGGACATGTCCTCTGAAAATAGAGGCAGTTTTGTTTCTTAGTATACACTCTGTATGTCAATTCTTCATTTTGTCTTATTTTGCAGGTGAAGATCCCCAATGTGATACTAATAGGCGTAGTGAAAGCAGATATTTGTCTTGACCCTGATGTTACAATAGCATTCATTCTTTCACCATTATGTATAGATGCTAGCTGTAGATACGTTAAATGTTATTTAATAGGCTGTTTCCTTCTCACTGCATTTAACTTTAAGTGAAAGATTATCTGTCTAAACTTTCATCGTCTGTCCAATTTAAGTGACAATAAAAGTTCTAATCATATTTTAAATTTGGAAGTAGCTATGTCTAGTTATGTTATTAAAACTTTCCATAAACCTGTTGCTCTGCATCCGAACCAGAATTTGATCTTGTCAGGTATCTGTGTGGTTTGTTTTGTTGCTACTCTTATACTTGTGTAGTGCATTGTGGTTTAATTTGCATTTCCCTAATAACCAATGGTGTTGAGCATTTTTATATGTTTCCATATATCTCTATTTATTAAGTAGAACAATATAATCTACTTAATAAAAAAAATCTGATAAAACTTTAAGTAAGAAAAACAACTCTTTATATGCAGTTCCTGTTTAGGAAGTTATAATTTAAGGGTAAGGCCTTAAATATACCATCCCCTACAATTTATTCAGAACTTTTAGTTTGAGTACACATTGCTTCCTACACATTTTATTTATGTATTTATTTCTCTTTCCAATGTGTAGTTTTCTGTTTTTTAAATATAACTGGTTAAAATTGTTAAGTATTGATATTTGATCAGAGAATCTAGAAGTAGAGATGAAAAAGACCTATTGAGTCTCATTCCACTGTGAAAATGCATTGACCACCCAACTGTGTTTCATCAATATAAAGCTATAGTTGGGTCTATTATTCCCTGCAGAAAGAATGCCAAAGGGGCTTTTCTTATTTGGAAAAATATTTTTTTTCACACGTATTACTATTTCATCCTATCATGCTTTTGCATTTGGGAGGTAAATTGAAAAGAAAGATAAATTCTTTAGCAAATGTTTCTTCTCAGGATAATTTCTTTAAATATCTTTTATCATAAAGAAGTCATTAAGACTATCACAGAAAGTTTCAACTTCTCTATTACATGAATTTATTGTTACTTAGGGGTTTAGAAAAATCTCAAACAGAACAATCTCTGCAAGCAGAGATTAGTTTTGTGAGAAACTAATGAATAGTTATGCATGAAGCAATAAATGGAAGTAAGGGTAGGTCAGAGATGTTTGTGAGAGAAATGACATCTAGAATGAGCTGAAGTAGAAAGAACCTTTTAGTTATCTCAAGGTGAGTTGATCTTTATGAAATGTTTGCTATTTGAAGCTTTATTTGAAGATACCATTCTCCAATTCACAGGAAGGAATAACTTTAGGATTAGGCTGAGTAAGTGGCTGAGTTATAAGACCAAGTGTACCAATGGCAAGTAAATTAATCTGCAGTTCTAGAATGTGGTCAGATCAATTTACAATATCTATCTACATAGTTTGACAGACTACAGATGCATCCCCTGGTGGAAACCTCTCACATGAATCCAGGCAAACAACAGGAAGCAGATACATGCATCGTGTAGTCAGTTTACCACAGGACTACTGACTAGAACTTGATCAAGACCATTTCTTTCTGCTTGCCTGTGACTTCATAATAGTCAACATAGCTTAATTAATTAGTTATAATACTTAAATACACAAAGTGGAATGGCAAGTTTAATTATTTTTTTATTATCCATAGTATTTGAAAGCAGTCAAGATCCTTTATGTGTTACTACTCTATAAGTTAGCAATGACATTAATGAAATTTATATAGCCAATTAGGGAGATATAGCCAATTATATGAAAGCATATCCTCACTGTTCTGTCTGTAACAAGGCTGTGATGTGAATAAAGATGCTTTCACAATGCCTGAAATGCCTCCCAGCTCTCTTCTTTTTCATGCTTTATACCACAACCTTTACCCCAGTTAAAAACTCAATGTTAAATATGTATTATATGTATATATATTTATACATAATGTTCTCATTTGGTAAAAACATTATATATTCTTTTTTTTAACTAGCACAAAACCACCATGTATAATCTTGAAATCCTACTTGTTAAACCTATATTTAATTTTATAAGTTTTTTTCTGTAGAAAAAAAGGCATTTTTTGAAACATAAGACATATGATGGTAGACAGTAAATTGCTTTAGCCTAGAAAACAAAACTAAAATGGTAACTTTCTAAAGGAGTTTTTAGAACTGTATGAAATTTGGTTACATACAGGAAACTTTCATTGAATCAAAAGATGAAAAATATCTTCCATGGGAGATATAATCAGTGCACTGACAGCTTTGATATGTAGCAGCTAAATTATTAGTTCATCAGATGAACCAAATGTGTAAGTATTACTACCTTTGTAATACAATGGTAAAAGTCCAGTTTATGGTCATTAGAGAAATGCAAATCAAAACTACACTTAGATACCATCTCACGCCAGTTAGAATGGCGATCATTAAAAAGTCAGGAAACAACAGATGCTGGAGAGGCTGCAGAGAAATAAGAATGGTTTTACACTGTTGGTTAGAAAGTAAATTAGCTCAACAACTGTGCCAGACAATGTGGCGATTCCTCAAGGATCTAGAACCAGAAATACCATTTGACCCAGCAATCCCATTACTGGGTATAATACCCAAAGGGATATAAATCATTCTATTATAAAGATACATGCACACATACATTTATTGTAGCAATATTCACAATAGCAAAGACTTGGAACCAACCCAAATCACCATCAATGATAGACTGGATAAAAAAATGTGGTACATATACACCATGGAATACTACGCAGCCATAAAAAGGAATGAGATCATGTCCTTTGCAGGCACATGGATGAAGCTGGAAGCCATCATCCTCAGCAAACTAACACAGGAACAGAAAAATAAACACCATAGGTTCTCACTCATAAGTGGAAGTTGAACAATGAGAACACATGGACACAGGGAAGGGAACAACACACACTGGGGCCTGTCGGGGGGGTGTGGCAGAGGGTAAAGCATCAAATCAAATAGCTCATGCATGTGGTGTTTAATACCTAGGTGATGGGTTGGTAGGTGCAGCAAACCACCATGGCACAGGTTTACCTATGTAACAAACCTGCACATTCTGCACATGTACCCCAGAACCTAAAATAAAATAAATTAAAAAAAAAAGAAAAAAATACTGTTATGTTTTGGTGTTAATATAATTCCTTTCATAGTAGATAATTAATTAAAAATTATAAGCCTGGGTGATTAGGTGAATTGTTCTTGATTCTGACCCTCTTCAGAAGTTATGGGGATTTTTTTGTCAGTTTTATTCTTTTTGACACTCTCATCTCAGGTCCATGCTGATTTATAAAATCAATCATTTCTTCATTTTAGGGCTAATATAAAAATACAAGGAAGTATTTCTCATATGTAATATACATATACCATATACACTGTATATATACTCTGTATGTTATATATACTTTTAATGAATTTATCTGTTGAGTTATTCTAATTTTAGAGAGAAAATTGATCACTAAATTAAAAAGTCTACAAAATAAATTATGGTTATAGTTGAGATATGCCCCATTGGATATCTTGAAGCTCCTCCCTAGCCCATTACTTTAGGTAGATAATAATTTATCTCCTTTCCCGTGATTTGGATGATTCTGGGAAAAAAACAGTTGAGATACATTTTCTAAACTCAAATTGCAAATTGTGAGAAATCTATTGTCTTAATAAATAACATTTGAAAAATATAGTTTTTTTTTGTTATTAGTTAAATTGATTTAAGATGGTACTGAGAGGTGACAACGTGCTAGCAGCCCTCACTCACTCTCAGCACCTCCTCGGCCTCGGCGTCTGCTCTGGCCACGTTTGAGGAGTCCTTCAGCCCACTGCTGCGCTGTGGTAGCCCCTCTCTGGGCTGGTCAAGGCTGGAGCCGGCTCCCTCTGCTTGTGGGGAGGTGCGGAGGGAGAGGTGCGGGCAGGAACCGGGGCTGCGCGTGGTGCTCATGGGCCAGCGCAAGTCCCGGGTGGGCGCGGACTCAGCGAGCCCCATATTCAGAGCGACCCCGGGCAGTGAGGGGCTTAGCACCCGGGCCAGCAGCTGTGGAGGGGGCGCTGGGTCCCCCAGCACTGCTGGCCCACCCGCACCACGCTCTAATGCTCGTGGGGCCTCTGCCACCTTCCTGCAGGGCAGGGCTTGGGACCTGGCAGCCAGCCATGCCCGAGCCCCCCTGCGGTGGGTTCCCGCACGGCCCAAGCCTCCCCCACAGGTGCTGCCCCCTGCTCCATGGTGCCCAGTCCCATCAACCTCCCAAGGGCTGAGGAGTGCAGGCGCACGGTGCGGGACTGGCCGGCAGCTCTGCCCACGGCCCCTGTGTGGGATCCATTAGGTGAAGCCAGCTGGGCTCCTGAATCAGGTGGGGACTTGGAGAACTTTTAAGTCTAGCTAAAGGTTTGTAAATGCACCAATCAGCACTTTGTGTCTAACTCAAGGTTTGTAAATGCACCAATCAGCACTTTGTGTCTAGCTCAAGATTTGTAAATGCACAAATCAGCACTGTGTCTAGCTAAAGGTTTCTAAACGCACCAATCAGTGATCTGTGACTAGCTAATCTAGTGGGGACTTGGAAAACTTTTATGTCTAACTAGAGGATTGTAAATGCACCAATCAGCACTCTGTGTAGCTCAGGGATTGTAAAGGCAACAATCAGCACCCATCAAAATGGACCAATCAGCTCTCTTCTGTAAAATGGACCAATCAGCTCTCTGTAAAATGGACCAATCAGCAGGATGTGGGTGGGGCCTGATAAGGAAATAAAAGCAGGCTGCCGGAGCCAGCAGTGGCAACCCGCCGGGGTCCCCTTCCACACTGTGGGAGCTTTGTTCTTTCCCTCTTTGCAATAAATCTTGCTGCTGCTCATTGCTTGGGTCTGCTCTGCCTTTATGAGCTGTAACACTCACCACAAAGGTCTGCAGCTTCACTCCTGAGGGCAGCTTCACTCCTGAGGACAACAAGACCATGAACCCACCAGGAGGAATGGACAACTCCAGATGCACTGCCTTAATAGCTGTAACACTCATCGTGAAGGTCTGCAGCTTCACTCCTGAGGCCAGCGAGACCACGAACCCACCAGAAGGAAGAAACTCTGGACGTATCTGAATATCTGAAGGAAAAAACTCAGGACACACCATCTTTAAGAACTGTGACACTCACCGTGAGGGTCAGCGGCTTCATTCTTGAAGTCAGTGAGACCAGGAACCCACCAATTCCGGTCACAGTACTGTGTTTAAAACTTAGAAAAAACATTAAGAGCCAGAATAAAGACAAAGTCATCCACATATGTTGTGAAATGTTACACAAACAATATAGTCAATGGACAAAATCTGAAAACACTACTTATTTCTACTTATTGGTAACCTTTCATAACTCATAGCTCTGCTATCTTTAAGTTAGTAAATTATCTATAACTTGTAGTAATAATTAATATATCTGGAATTTACCCACTAGCATAAGTAATGTGTAATTTTTCATTTTAAAGTCTTCAACCAACAAATAACATTGATATAAGGCATTTTTGTATTGGAAGGTTACTCTACTTCTGAATGATGAATCACCAGATTAAAGCTTGGATAGACTAAACCCCATTGGAAATTATACTCAGTAAAATTTAGAAAAAATACTTGAAAAATAAATGAAAATATATAAAAATTAAACTTTTTAAAAATTATGAAAGCATAAATCTGCTGAATATAATTTCAACTTTTAAAAGTATAGAACCCACTTTTTCTCATGCCTTTTTTTTCTCTTCAAGTTACTACCTTTGGTCAATCATGAGCAATGTTCTTGAATATTGAAAACACATTTTAGAAATTATGTCTTTCTTGACCTTTTGAAGATATTTTCCCATTAAGAACAAATAAATAAACCTAGTGAGTAATTATTTATGTAATTTATAGGAAATAACATTTTTCTTCTTTTATGTTTATATTTTGATAAAACAGTTTGAATCAACTTCTAAAGGTGTATTTTCACTCTTTTAGCAAGATTAATTACCATTTTATTCCATTCTCTTCTTTATACATGTTAGTTTTCTCCTTTTTTTTTCTTTTCCCCAATATAATCTATTTACTTAGTCCATTAATTTTTCAATGGTCTGTTCATTGTTTTCTTTTTTATGTGATCTTCTCATTCCCTCAATACTAGCTGTACATTTTGAAAATATAAATGTTTGGTATATAATAAATATTATATGGGAAAACATAAAAGCAGTCTCCTTGAAAACAGTTTTTAAATATGTAATAAAGACCTAGGACAACCTTATATTCTCTCAATTATCATACTGACAGAAAAAATAGAATTTCATAAAACATATAATTTTTTCTTGGCAGAGTAAATCAGTAATATGAAGACATATTTTAATTTGTTTTTGAATCAAAAAGAAACCGAGTTAAAATTTTATCAATTTTTAAAAATGATTTCTGAGAGCAAGCATCAACTGAGACTAAAAAATCTACACAAGTAGATTGTTCACATTGCATTTTACTGTGTAATCACAGTTCAATTTGTGGCTAATTTAACTACGTTATGAACTTCATACATGAATAAGAGCCAAAAGCTGAAATAAATAGTTCCTTGGTATGACTTCTCAACTTAACATGAGCCAGAAATGCAATGAACGATTTGAAATATGCTAGAATTATCAAAACCTGGTTAGTGTTACTTAATATGGGACCACATATTTTGGACGATGTGATAATGATAATTTTAAAATACATGATTTTTAACGTTGCTTACAGTTATATGAGGTTTCTCAGGTTATTTAAAGTGAATATAAGGATGATCACCATTTCTATTCTTTTATTGTTTTCTTTGTTATTTTATGTGCGTATATTTTTCTTATCGCAGTATTTTTCAATTACCAGAATATTTAAAAATAAATTACATTATAAATATTGAACAAGCAAATATACATTTACTCACCTAAGGCTTTTTTCTAAATTTGTGCTTGGAGTTTAAAAATAAACATGGGAGAAAAAATTCAAAATAGGAACGCAAGGAATGCAACATTGATTTTAAATGTTTTATACTCTCACAAAGTAGTTTGTGCAAGTGTCACAGACACTGAATAGCTAAAATGCATAATTGCAAACTCTTTGTGAAAAACAACTAAATTTTAAAGCCAGAACAAAGAGACAACCTGGAAAGCTGTAATCAGAATTGTAGGATGAAGGTTACGTTGTTTATTTAACCTACTTCTCTAGGCTCTATAGCATATTTTATTCATTCTATAACTTCACTAGTTGGGATAAGAGATTATCTCCAGAAAATATGCATAATTGTGGCTTAGTCAGAGACTATATGAAACAATATGCCTTAATGTCAATGCCACAATATTCTGATTTGGCAGTGCTTTTATGAGCTATCTTACAGGTACAAAGAAGATATATCTTCATACAGTTAGTAAATTGCTACTTCTTATGAACTTTTGCATGTTTTTCTTAAATAAATTGGTTTGCCTCTTGATTAAAATGAAATATCAAAGTCTGTTCAGATTATAAGCTTACTTTATTATAATAGGTTTTTAATTTCTAATTTTCTTGCTTCTACAGAGAGAACTTTGTATTTATTGTTACCCTATGAATTGTGAAAAACACACACACACATTTTTTAAAAATTAATGGATGCATGTTTCTTGATTAACAAGGCAAATGTACATATAAAAATGTAGTGACGTGAATATTTTTGTTAAAACATAAGAAAAATGAGCAAACAAAGCTCTCCATTCTGTATTAAGAGCTTTTACAAAGAATCTTTCTGTGGTGGTACATGACCTGAAAAATAGAAGAACAAATATAATGGTTCTCTCTGGGAGTAAAGTTAATAACTAGGAGCCTGATTTTACCATTGATTTTATTTTTGACCTCAGATAGGTTTCTGGTCTTCTCTCTTCATTTCGTATATTAACTGGAAATAAATTACTAAACCATTTTCAAGCCTTCTCTAAAGAGCACTTGATTCAGGTATACATAATACACAGTTACATTTATTTTATTATTTTTTCAAGTCATTTTTGTTATTTTTACTTTTATCTTGGATTTGTATGTGTGTATGTGTTTGCGCATTTTCAAACAGACAGCATTTTCAATAGTCATTTGTATTGAAAAATCATTCACATGTATTTTCTGTATATATTTTGGTTTGATTCATAGAGTTAATATATTTTGATTCTACAAAAGTGCCTTAGCTCTTTAACAGGTACTCATTTAAGTGAACACCACTGTATAATTTGTTAGTCTCCTGTGATGATTCAAGATGTTCCTCACATTCTGGTTTGAAAAGGAATAATTTGCATATATTTTTAGAGTTGAACATGCTGAGATGTAGAGAATAAGATGTTGTCTAATAAGACATTCATTACATATACTAGTTTTAAGAATCATTTTTAAGTTCAAATTTTAACATAGTGCAAGATAATAACTATGTTGAGAGCTACTACTGCAGTTCAGATGCTTTTACTTTAATATCTTTTATGCAATTTGCAAAGACATTTTTTTGAAAACAAAGCCTGCTACTGGATCTACCAAAGAAGAAATTTATTATTTAAAAGCGACTATATCTCACATTAGTAGATCAAAAGATTTCACATATTTTCAATATCTTTTATGGAATAGAATTTTGAATGTTTTACCTTAAGACTTTTTCTTATCAATTTTCAGTAACTTGAAAAACATCTAAAACAATTCCAAGAAAGGAAATGTCACCTTTACTAACACTTTTCTCCAAATGCATTTCTTCCAAAGTCATTTCTAATTAATATATATATTTCTAATTATACATTTAATGTATGCTCATTTTAGAAAAGTAGAAAATAAAAACATAAAGAATACAATCCAACAACAGAGAAATTGGCACATATAATAATTTTGCGTATATTTCCCATTATATTTCCATTAAAATATGTTGAAATAATTAGAACTATGCTCCACATGCAGTTTGTTTTTTGAAAACTTGCATAAACAAGATCATTGTCTGGGACTTTGTCCCTGGTTCCTGAGAGGTAACTTCTAAACCCCTGGAGTTTTTCAAATGACAGAAGGTTTTTGTTATTCATTGTGGGATCTGGAACCAACCTAAGTTTATGCTAATGAGGTGCATCATGTCAGAACACTAAATAGTTTATGGTAATAAAATGACCAGCAGAATGGGGGCTGGTCATAAAAGAAAAAGCAAAACACCATCAGAGAGTTGGGGCTTTGGGCTACTTGATATCTTTGTCTAACCTCCAGAGAATGGAATGAGGCTGAAGATTGAGCTCAAATAACCAATTATTTGGTCAGTCATACCTATATAATGAAGCCCTCCAAAAATATGGAAACTAAAGCTCAGGTGAGTTTTCTTGGCTGGCAATGCACTGTGGAAACCAAAATTAAAATTCTAAGGCCCCAAGCCATCTGAATGGACTTCCTCCTCAGACAGGGCTCTTAAAATTTAACTTGAAAGACTGGTTCAGGCCAAGATCGAAAATAGGGGTCAGACATCCTTATTATACCTCTCTGGCATTAATATCAACACAGATTTTAAGTCTGATAAAAAACATTTTACAATCTATTCTCTCTAAAGCCTGCTACCTAGAGGCTTCATCTGCATGATAAAACTTTCACCTCCACAACCTTATTGCAACCCAGACATTCCTTTCTATTGATCTCAGGTACTTGGATAAACTCAACCAATTGTCAATCAGAAAAATTTTAGATTTCCCTATAAGCTGGAAGACGCCCCACTTCAAGTCCACTTTTCTGGACCAAACACATGTATTTCATAAATGTATTTGATTGAAGTCTCATGCCTCCCTAAAATGTATAAAACTAAGCTGCATCCTGACCACCTTGGGCACATGTTCTCAGGACCTACTGAGGGCTGTGTCATGGGCCATGGCCACTCATATTTGACTCAGAATAAATCTCTTCAAATATTTTACAGATTTTGACTATTTTCATCGATAATAATTTGGCACCCAAACACGTGGGGCCTCAGAGAAGACTCAGGACTCCAAAGGAGTTGCCCAAACTCAGAGCTAAGGTATCAGCAGGGGCCCATTGAAGCCTCCACGACTTTGAGCTTCTCCTCTGGTGGAACTGCTAAGTCCTCCTGAGCCCAGAACCTCCCTTTGATGAAAGGTCCTTGATTTATTCTGAGCTTTTATTTTTGCTCTTCTAGGAAGTTGTTGTTTAAGGATCCTAATTCTAGTTCAGAGGTGCATTTTAAAGGGTCTTCTCCATTGCTTTTTCTCCCGAAATTAATCTTGATTTGGCTTGGCTGGGCGCATTTGCATGAGGAACTGTACTGTTGTTTTCATAGGTAAATGAGAGACTGAGTTTACTCAGCTTGGAAAAGAAAGGGCATTTTGTTCCTTCCAGCTGAAAGGCACCCTGGGTTACTGGGGGCCTCGTGGGATTGTCTGGGGTGTTGACCCTCCGTGATTTACAGCAGCCCTACAGGGAACCCCCAATGAAATTAGTTCAAAATAGGCTCGTCCTGGAAGTGTATACAGGAGCTGGTTGCTTCATACTTTGGGCCCTGCTGAAGGGGCTTAGACCTCTGGAGAGGGAAAGATACATGTAAGAGGGCAGCAATGACTCAGTGGTTAATTTTACAGGATATCTGGGGTGTCAATTTTTCTTACTGGAAACCTCTATGGCCGCAGCGCCTTTGCCTGAGTTTTTGTCCTACCTCCAGGAATAATGAGATATGCAAGCAAGTGAAAGGTGAAGAAGAAGAGTTTTATTTGATGTTAGAACAGCTCAGAGGAGTGGGTAGCTCCTCTCTATAGACAGGTTGCCCAGTGAAACGTTCAGATCTTAGCAGAGAGGAGGCTCTAGAGAGGGTGACTCCTCTCTGCAGCAAGTCATTTTGACATTGCTGCAGGTCTCTGAAGCTCTCAACAGAGAAGGTAGCACCTCTTTCATGGCAGGTTGTCTCTGCAGCTCTCTGCAGCTGGTCATCCCATCATCTCCAGCCATCAGCAGAGAGGGTACTCCTCTCTGCAGCTGGTTGTCTGTCCGTCCTCTGCTCTCTTCATCCTCTGGCCATCCTCTGCCCTGCTCTGGCTGAGCCCAGGGCTTTTATAAACCTCAGAGGGAAGGAAGTGCATGCTGATTGGTCCATGGGCAGCCATGGGTGGGCTCAGAAGAGGCACCTGAGTCCCCACTCCAGTCCTCAGGACTGGTAGCCCAGCCCCCAGCCTTCATGCCCTCCCTAGCCTGAATGTGGGGCCTTACTGGGGACCAGGCCTCTTCTGCCCGGGGACCAGGCCTCTTCTGCCCAGGAACCAGTTTGCTTCCTGCTGTCATTCATGGCCCCTGGGGCTCAGCCCAAAGCCTGCTCTGAAATTGGAGAAGGTGCCCGGAGAGGAGAGTGGTCAGGCAGGTGGAAGCAGACACCCCTGAGCCTGCAGGGATGAGGGGGTCCTTCCTGGGGCCTCTGAGGGCGCAGGCTGCAGAGATGCCTGGGTCCTGTGTCTAGGAGGGCGGCCGCAGCTGCACCTGGGAGCTCCCGCCCCACCAACTGAAAAGGGGTAGGGCTCCCTCCCTCTTGTCACCGGCTCCTGCCTTCTTCCTGGAACAGAACGCCTAGGTCTGCAGCCACAGGTGCATAGGCTGCAGCTGCACCGGGAAAGCAGATCTGGCCTGTTCCTGGCTCCGCCAAGAGCACTCAGAGGCTTGGATCCATAGCTGCAGTTTGGGTAGGTGCAGCCCCGCCCGGGAGGGTGGGGCTCCTGCTTGCTCCGTAAAGGACTGGGTCTGCAGCTGCCTTTCGGGGTTTGGGACAAGGAACTCCCTTCCCAACTCAGAAGGGGCAGGGCTTGAACTCACTCCGTAGAGTGTGTAGGCCCAGCTGGGTTTCCCTGCGGCAGCCGGCATGATGGCAGCAGCCAATACCATCACTAACACACATTTCAACCCACTCCACAAAAGCCCTAGGCCATAGCTCAGTTCCTTCTAAAAAAAAAAAAAAAAAAAAGTGGGAAACAGTCTAAGAATGGGGGGAAAAAAAAAAGAATGACCCTCCTTTGGGGCACTCCATTGGTTTTATGACACCTCTACTTGCCAGAGTTCATATAAAATGGAAGTATTATGGTCTTTGTGCACATTTACATTGAGGAAAAATACCCCTAAGGTAGATCTGCAAACTATAGAGTTCCTAAGTTCTGTTTTTCTCTATTTTTCTTTTCTGCCTGCTTTAAATCTGCTCTTACTTTTTCTACTGCAATAAAAACCATTGTTTGGATTTAACAGTTTTTTTGTTTGTTTGTTTTTTGCAAGTTGGTGAATTTGTATTTATCTCACGGTTCTGAAGTAAAAGCTATAGGATCTCTGTGATCTGCATGTGTGTGTGTGTGTGTGTGTGTGTGTTTGTGTGTGTGCGTATATTTAAAATGCCTTTATAATTTCTATAATTATATGTTTAATTGACAATTAAATCCATTTTAATTTTTTTCTAGCACACCAGACTTTTTTTCTTTGTAAATTTTGGTATCTGATTTTTACCTAAGAGTTGTTTCCTTTAATATTCAGAGTTAAGGCTATTTAGCTGACAACTGCCTAAGGTGGTGAATCAGGTTATCAAGAATTTGAAAGCCTATGATAGGAGAAAAAAAAAAAGAAAAAAGAAAAGGGGTCTTATGAATCTATAAGATTCATCATGCCTAATATGTCTATGTGTTTATGTGTTGTGTAAATATTTCACTACTAAAAATATATAAAAGTGCTCTAATTAATTGGCTTAAAAAATAAAAGAATCTAAATCAAATACTTAAAAGAAAAGCCTAACTAAATGCTTTTTCAAGTTCACATGACTTAAGTAAAATCTTTAATAAATAAGTTGGCTTTAAAGTTATAGGTGAAATATGTATTAGTCTGTTTTTATGTTGCTGATAAAGACATACTTGAGACTGGGAAGTAAAAGAGGTTTAATTGGACTTACAGTTCCACATGGCTGGAGAGGCCTCAGAATCATGGCAGGAGGCAAAAGACATTTCTTACATGGTGGCGGCAAGAGAAAATGAGCTAGAAGCAAAAGTGAAAACTCCCGATAAGCCCATCAGATCTCGTGAGACTTATTCACTGTCACAAGAATAACACAGGAAAGACCAGCCTCCATGATTCAATTATCTCCCCCTGGGTCCCTCCTACAACACGTGGGAATTCTGGGAGATACAATTCAAGTTGAGATTTGAGTGGGGACACACCCAAAACGTATCAAATAATATTAGAAATTTCTTAAGAATCGATAGCATTTTTATTTTCATTTGTTGATCAAGTGGTTTCATGCTTATTCCTGTAGAATACTATACGATTTGCCATAAGGGTTATATAAGTATAAAACCCAGCCCAGGACACAATGATCTTTGCTTGTGTAATTTTTGATAAATAAGACATGGAATGTTGTTGGTTTAATGAAAACTGCTAAATCTTGAGGTATTGGTAAAAAATACCCTTATATTTAACTTTAAGGTTCTTAAGTAAATACCTGAAATTCACAGGTGTAAAAACAGTTAACAAAGAAATAACTTTAAATACTGACTATCACAGTTTTTGTAAGTAATCTAGGTAAACGATTAATATTGAATAAATTAATCAGTTAAATGTAATTTAATAAATGCTTGTAAACAAACTTGTCATAATTTAGGATCTCAAAGTTATTAATTGATATCAGGTATCTGAGTAATTTCCAATTTAAAAATTATAGAAAACCATTTTTTTAAAAAAGTTCTTATTAAAAGGCAAATATCTTTGTCTAATTAAAGGCTTATTTAAAGGTTATGTATAAAACAAGGTAAAAGTTACCATAAAATAAGAGATGTAAAGAAAGTTAAAGATATAAAGAAGTATTTTTGGTAAAGAAGATGTGAACCCTGAAAATCTGAGACAGGTCTCAGTTAATTTAGGAAGTTTATTTTGACAAGATTGAGAACGTGCACGCAGGACACAGCCTCAGGAGGTCCTGATGACATGTGCCAAGGTAGTCAGAACACAGTTTGGTTTTATAGATTCTAGGGAGACATGAGACATCAATCAACATATGCAAGATGAACACTGGTCCAGTCTGGAAAGGCAGGACAACTCAAAGTAAAAGCAGGATGACTCAAAGTGGAGAAGGGGCTTCCAGGTCACAGGTAGATAAGAGACAAATGGTTGCGTTCTTTTGAGTTTCTGATTAGCCTCTCCAAAGCAGGCAATCAGGTATGCATTTATCCCAGTGAGAAGAGGGGTGACTTTGAAAAGAATGGGAGGCAGGTTGGCCCTAAGCAGTTCCCAGCTTGACTTTTCCCTTAGCTTAGTGATTTGGGGACCCCAAGATTTTATTCCTTTCACATTTTCTCTCTCTTTTTTTTTTTTTTTTTTTGAGACGGAGTCTCGCTCTGTCGTCCAGGCCGGACTGCGGACTGCAGTGGCGCAATCTCGGCTCACTGCAAGCTCCGCTTCCCGGGTTCACGCCATTCTCCTGCCTCAGCCTCCCGAGTAGCTGGGACTACAGGCGCCCGCCACCGCGCCCGGCTAATTTTTTGTATTTTTAGTAGAGACGGGGTTTCACCTTGTTAGCCAGGATGGTCTCGATCCCCTGACCTCATGATCCACCCGCCTCGGCCTCCCAAAGTGCTGGGATTACAGGCGTGAGCCACCGCGCCCGGCCCATTTTCTCTCTTTTTAAAAATTTTTTGGAGAAAGCATTTTAGAAGAAAATGAGTCTCTGGTCTCAGGTTTCTTCTGATCTCGCATGGCTAGGATGGTTTATTCCTAGACAGGTAGGTCATGAGTTATTAGGAAAGCTCGTTTTTATCAGGCTGTGAAGTCATGTCCTAGGAAGAGAACATAGGGGAAGGAAGGAATAAAAACAACAAACAAAAGAACAATACTGGAAAATCAATATAGGCCACAAAACTCTGAAGTCCATTCATCATTAGGCAGGTATGAAAGTGGCTTATGTATGTAAATAGGCTGCTGTTATTTTCTTCTAAAATTTAAGTTGTCTCGCTATAGTTTGTAGGGCTTAATGAAAGCACAGCTTAGTTTTCAATGATTTCAAGTTAGGAAAAATTGGGGGAAAAGGAAAAGAAAAGAAAAAATGAAAATATTATTTTAAAGATTTGTTGCCAGGAAAAATTATAATTCAGCCCAAACTGTAGAAAATAATAAAAACTGAAAAACATTAGACAAGACTAGGATCTAACAACAGGTGTATTGTAGTTTTTGAAACATAATTTTTCTCTCTCCTGTTTCCCATTTTTACTAAAGACAAATCATGGTAGAATCAATTTGCTTTATTATACTTGGCCAGATTATTTGTATAAAGTGCAGCAAGGATAATTATTTTTTATATAGGCTTATTTACATTGGCTTTGATGGAACTTGGTTCAATAGAAAAAATCTCATGAGACTTTTTTCTTTTTTTTTATATTAAAAGCATTTATTTATTTTACTTTAATTCTTCTAAAAAATGGGATACATGTGCAGAACATGTAGGTTTGCCATTCAGTAATATTAAATACATTCACATAATTGTGCAACCAGTCTGTTAAGCTTTTTCATCTTGCAAATCTGAAACTCTATACCCAGTAATTACAACTGCCCATTTTTCCCTTCTTGAGCCCCGGCAACCACCATTTTACCTTATGTTTCTATAAATTTGACTAGTCCATATGCTTCATTTAAGTGGAGCTATATGGTATATGCATTTTTGTGACTTGTGTATTTTGCTTAGCATAACATCCTCAAGGTTCATCTATGTTGTGTAATGTGTCAGATTTTTTTTTAAGGCTAATATTTTATTATATGGACATACCACATTTTGTTTAATCACATATGCATATGACATTAAGATCGCTTCACCTTTTGTTCATTATAAATAACACTACTATAAATGTGGGTGTACAAATATCTCTTTGAGATCCTACTTAAAATTCTTTTGGATATATACCCAGAAGTTGTATTGCTTGATCCTATGGTAATATTTATAATTTTCTGAGGAATCACCATAATGTGTTTCACATTGGCTGTACAACTTTTCATTCCCACCAACAGTGCAGAGGTGATCTGATTTTTCCACATCCTCACCAATGTTTGTTACTTTTTGTTTTTCTTTTTCTCTTTTTTTTTGAGAGGGAGTTTCACTCGTGTTGCCCAGGCAATAAGATTGTGCAATGGCACAATCTTGGCTCACTGCAACCTCCACCTCCTGGGTTCAAGCGATTCTCCTTGCCTCAGCCTCCCAAGTAGCTGGGATTACAGGCATGCACCAATATGCCCAGTTAATGTTTTGTATTTAGTAGAGATGGGTTTTCACCATGTTGGTCAGGCTGGTCTTGAACTCCTGACCTCAGGTGATCCACCTGCCTAGGCCTCCCAAAGTGCTGGGATTACAGGCATGAGCCATCGCGTCCAGCCACTTTTTATTTTCTTTAAAATAACTATTCTGATGGGTGTGAAGTAATATCTCATTGTGGTTTTGATTTGCATTTCCTTAGTGACTGGTGATATGATCATCTTTTCTTATGGTTGTTGGCTTTCTTTATTAATTTTTTATTCTATATACATTTTTCTCCTTTTTGAATTTGTTCCAAATGTATTTATTCTATGTACATTTTTCTCCTTTTTGAGTTTGTTCCACAAGTATTTATTAATTATTGATTATCTCAGGATTTTGTAGGGTTTTGGGCACTTACATGACTCAAAGTAAGATATTATCTGGGTGGTACACTAAATTATTTTATGACTATATTAGTCATCTGTGTAAACATGCTTCAAAATATATTTAACATTATAGTTTTAAGGCCATGTTCTATACAGTGATTTCTAACATTCCCAGTATGAATATTCTTATTTTATTTTACTTATTATGAAAATATGTTTTAAAATATAAATATTGCTGTGGTTTGAATATGTATCCCAAAGTTTATGTGTTTGAAACTTAATCCCCAAATTTATATGTTGATCATGTGTAGATGGATGTAGGGCCTTTTGGAGGTAATTAGGGTTAGATGGGGTCCTGAGTGTGGGATCCTCATGATGGGTTAGTGACTTTATTGGAAGATAAGGAGAGACCTGAGCTGGCACACTCTTGCCCTCTGGTGATGTGATGCCCTCCACCATTTTACAATTCAGCAAGAAGGCACCTACCAGATGCCGGTGCCATGCTCGTAGATGTCCCAGGCTCCAGAACTGTGAGTTAAATGAAAGTATTTTATATATAAATTATCTAGTCTATGGAATAATGTTATGGCAACAGAAAATTACTAACAAGTGTATTTAGAGAATAAGGTACAAACCCAGGTATCCCATGAAAAAACAAATGTTAACTCTCTTAGTCTTTTTAGGCTGGTGGGTAGCTCATATATGACAGAAATTTGTTTCTTACAATTTTGGAGAGGGGGGTGCTGTCCAAGATGAAGGCATCAGCAGATTTGGTGTCTAATGAGGGCCCACTTTCTCATAGGTGGCCACCTTTTCACTGTAAACTCACATACCAGAAGTGATGGGGAATCTCTCTTGGATCTCTTTTATAAGGGCACTAGTCTCATTCATGACAGTTTTACCCCCATACCTCCTACTACTATAAACTTGAGGGTTAAGATTTGAACATATGAATTTTGCGGAGAATACAAACATTCAAATCATAGCATTTTCCCCTGATCCCCCTGAATTTTTGTCTTTCTTACCTACAAAATACATTCATGACATCACCAAAGCCCCAAAAGTCTTCACTTCTTCCAGCGCCAACACAAAACTGTAAAGTACAAAGTCTCATCTGAATATCATCTAAATTGTTTGTGGGTGAAATTCAAGGTAAGTTTTATTCTGTGAAACATTGCTCTCCAACTGTGAAATTGTAAAGTCAAACATGTTATGTGCTTCCAAAATACAGTGGTTAAACAGACATAGGATAAGCATTCTTATTCCAAAATGGAGAAATATAAGAGAATAAAAACCAATAGTTTCCAAATAAGTATGAAATACAATAGGGCAAATAATATTAAATTTTACAGCTTGAGAATAATCTTCTTTGGTTTAGTGCTTGCCCTCCAGGCCAACTGGAAATTGGAGATGGGCACACCTTCCAGACATACTGGGTCAGGGCCCAACCTTCTCTTCTGGACACACTGGAGTTGGGATCCTACCTTTTAGATACACTGGGATGTGTGGACCTGCCCCAATGCAATGGGTGGCCCCACCACCATGTTAGATCTCTGTAGTCATCCCAATTCTGATGTGAATTTGTGTTTGAGTTGTATGCCCATGGATCCTCCAGGCTGGAATCATGGATGGGATTAATGTCTATAAAAGGCTTCGGAGAGCTGCCTCTTTCTTTCTGCCCTTTCACCATGTTAGGGCACCTAGACAGCATCAACCCTGAGAAGAGGGCCCTAAACAGACAACTGACATGCTCATGCTTTGAACTTCAGCTTCTCAGCCTCCAAAACTATGAGAAATAAATATTATTTATGGATTATGCAATCTGTGGTATTTTGTGACAGAAGCATGAAAGAACCGAGACACTAGGACTATGGTGTTTCCTAGCTTCTGCTTTTTCTTAAATTTGTGTCCAGCAACACATACTCATCACTGGGGGAAAATTTTTCATGTCTGCATTCTCCTTTATGATATTTTCTGTAAATTTCAGTCTTCTCTATTTTTCTTTGTACACTTTTTATTGTGGTAAAATGTACATAACTTAAAACTTACTATTTTAACTATTTTTAAGGGTATAGTTCAGTGGCATTGAGTGTATTCATCTTGTTGTTCATCCATCGCTACATCCATCTCCAGAAATTTTTCTTCCTCTCAGGTTAAAACCCAATGTCCCTTAAACAGTAACTCACCATTTTCCCCTACTAACAACTGCTGGGAAGCATTGTTCTATTTTTCTTCTTTATAGATTTGACTACTCTAGTTACCTCTGAGGACTAAGCTCTGATTTTTTATCTTGCCCAAATTCCTTTCTAAGGGGTCTGGGGAGTCATGCCCTACAAACCATAAATTTTCATTAGATGGGTTTTATTTAACCCTGTATATTGTGACTTACTTTCCAAACTGACTCTGGCATAACAAGGGAACAATCTAAGCATTTTACCCCAAAATATATTTCCTTGTACCTAGAAATTGCCCTTCAAAGTCTCTTGTGGGAAAAATTCATGTTCTATAGAGAATATCTTTTCCCCTTTGTTTTCTCTCTTTTCTTTCCGATACAGGTGATAATCAACTAAAAGCCAGGAACCCTTTTAGGTTCAATAAGAAACATTTTACAACCTGCTCTCTCTCTCTCCGAAGTCTGCTATCTGAGAGATTCCTCTGCACAATAAAACTTGGTCTCCACAATCCTTTATCTTAACCTGAACATTCCTTTCCATTAATCCCAGGTCTTCAGATAAACTCAACCAATTGTCAGCCAGAAAATGTTTAAATTTACCAATAGCCTGGAAGCCCCTGCTTTGAGTTGTCCCACTTTTCTGAACCAAACCAATGTATTTCTTAGGTGTATTTGATGTCTCATGCCTTCTTAAAATATATAAAACCAAGCTGTACCCCGACCACCTTGGCCACATGTTTTCAGGACCTCCTGAGGGCTGTGTCTTGGGCCATGGTCACTTATATTTGGCTCAGAATGAATCTCTTAAAATATTTTACTGAGTTAGACTCTTTTCATCGACACCTCATATAACTCTATTCTGTTGTTACTGGCTTATTTTACTAAGTCTTACACACTGTATTTAAGGTTCATCTATGTTGTGGTATGTGTCAGAATTTCCTGTCTTTTTAGGATTAACAAGTATTCTCTTTTATGTTTATACCACATTTTGTGTATTCATTCATCTATGAATGAACACTTGCCTTGCTTCCATTTTTTGGCTAATGTAAATAATGCTGTCCTAAACATAAATGTGCAAATATTTATTTGAACATTGCTTTAAATCCTTTTGGATATATACTGAGGAATAAAATTGCTTTAATATATAGTAATTCTATGTTACATTATTTGAGGATCGGCCATATGGTTTTCATAGGGTCTTCACTGTTTTACATTCTTTTCAGCAGTCCAAAAGGGTTTCACCACATTATTACCAATATTTGTTATTTTCTGTTGTGTGTATGCCTGTGTGTGCGTTTCATAATAGTCATTAAAATGAGTGTTAGTTGGTTTATCATTAAGGTTTACATTTGCATATCTCTAAAGATTCGTTACCATATTGTTTATCCTTACTATTGTACTGGCTATTTTGGATATTCTGCCTTTTCATATAAACTTTAGGATCAAGTTGCTGATAACCACCAAATAACTTGCAGAGATTATTGGGAAGAACTCACATCTTTAAAATATTTGTCTCCTATCTATGAACAGCAAATATTTCCAAATATACTAAGTTCTTCACTGATTTTGTTCAACAGAGTTTGTAAATTTCCTGTAAAAATCTTGTACACATTTTGTTAGAATTATACCTAAACATTTCATTTTGAAGCATGCTAACGTAATTGGTATTGTATTTTAAAATTCAGGTTGTTCTTGTTTGTTGCTGGTATATAGGAAAGTAATTGTTTTTTATATTAATCTTGCATTATATCCTGCAACCTTGCTATAATCACTAATCAGGCCAGGCATGGTGACTCTTGCCTGTAATTCCAGCTGCTAAGTATGCTGAAGTGGGAATATAGATTGAGCCTGATAATTCTCTCTACAGACACACACACACACACACACACACACACACACACAATTCCAAGGATGAAACCCACTTGATCATAATAAATTATTTATTTGACATGCTGTTGGATTGAATTTGCTAGTATTTTGTTGAGGATTTTGCATCTATGTTCATCAAGGGTATTGGTCTGTGCTATCCTTTTTGCTGTTGTTGTTGTATCACTGCCTGGTTTTGGTACAAAGGTGATACTGGATTTGTAGAATAAGTTATAGAGGGATCCCTCCTCTTCAATTTTGTTGAAATTATTTTGGTATCAGCTTTTCTATATACATTTGGTTAAAAACTGGCTGTGAATCTGTCTGGTCCTGGCCTTTTATTTGCTGGAAGATTTTTTATTACTAATTTGATTTCATTGCTCAATATGGATCTGTTCAGAGTTTCTATTTCTTCCTGGTTCAGTCTTGGAGGTTGTATGTTTCCAGCAAAATATCCATTTCTTCTAGGTTTTCCAGTTTGTGCATGTAGAGATGTTCACAGGATTCTCTGATGATCTATTGTATTTTTGTGATATCAATTGTAATGTCACCTTTATCATTTCTTTTCTCTTTTTTTCCTAGTTTAGTCTAGCTCGCAGTCAGTCAATATTGTTTTTTCTTTCAAAGAACCAGATATACTGTTTCAAAGAAACAGATTATTTGGATAGTTTTTTTAAATTTAATTCTGCTGCATTCTCTGTTAATTCTTTTTTTCCCCTAGCTTTTGGTTTTGTTTGTTCTTCCTTTTCTATTTTCTTATGATGCAACCCTACATTGTTAATTTAAAATATTTTTAGCTTTTTGATGTAGGTGTTTAATGCTATAAACTTGTTCTGAGCGCTGGTTTTGCTGTATCCCAGCTGTTTTGGTGTGTTTTGTCTCTATTTTCATTCTTGTTAAAAAAAATTGTTGATTTCTGTCTTAATTTCATTGTTTAACCAGGAGCCATTCAGGAGCAAGTTGTTTAGTTTCCATGTAGTTGTTTAGTTTTTAAGAGTTCTTCTTGGAATTGATTTCTAATTTTTTCCACTGTGGTCAAAGTGGATGCTTGACATGATTTTGATGTTTTTGAATTTATTGAGATTTGGTTTTTTACCACGCATGTGGTAAATTTCAGGGGATATTCTGTGCACAGGTGAAAAGAATATGTATTGTGTGGTTTGGGAGTAAAATGTTCTGTAAATGTCTATTAGGTGTATTTGGTCAGTAGTCCAGTTTATATCCAGAGTTGCTTTGTTGATTTTCTGCATCATTAATCTGGCTAGTGATGTCAGTTTGGTGTTGATATCCGCTATTATTATTGTACTGTTGTTAATCTGTCTTCTTAGGTTGGGTCGTACTAGTTTTAATCTGGGTGCTCTGGTGTTGGGTGCATATATATTTAGAATAGTTAAATCTTCCTCTTGCGTAGAAACCTTTATGTTATAATGGCCTTCTTTGTCTTGTTTTCTGCTGTTGGCCTAAAATCTGTTTTATCCAATATGATAAAGATTACTCCTGATCACATTTATTTTGCATTTGTGTGATTTTTTTTCCCACCCTTTTACTTTGAGTCCTAATGTACCTTGAAACAGTACATGGATCTCTTGTAGACAGTAGATGGTTGGGTCTTATTATCATTTTTTTAAGTCCAATTTGCCAGTCTCTTTTAAGTAAGCCATTAAGGCCATTTTCATTCAAGGTCAATATTGATGTGTGAAGTTTTGTTCCTAAAGTAGTGAGATGTTTGCAAGTGAGATGTTTTAATTCTGTTTCAATTCTGCAGGTTTTTTTTTATAAGATCTATGAGTTTTATAGCTGTGTGTGCTTTTCTGATGGTGATTGTTATCCTTATGTTCCCATGTTTAAAACTCCTTTAAGCATTTCTTGTAGGAATGGTCTTGTGGTGACATATTTCCTTAGAGTTTACTTGTCTGAGAATGACTACATTTCTCCTTCATTTATGAAGCTTAGTTTGACAGCACAGAAAATTATTAGCTGACGTTCTTTTCGTCTTCTCTAAGGAGGCTAAAAATAGGCCCCCAATCTCTCCTGGCTATTAGGGTTTCTGGTGACAATTCTGCTGTTAATCAGATAAGTTTTACTTTTGGATTAGTGCATTCTAACATGGCTGTAAAAAATACCAGAGACTGGATAGGTTATAAAAAAAAAAAAAGGTTTAATTGCCTCATGGTTGCATGGTTACATGATACTGGTATCTTATCACTCCTGGAAAGGCCTCAGGAAACCTCCAATCATGGTGAAAGGCAAAGGGGAAGCAGGCTTGGCTTATATGTCCAGAGTGGGAGTAATAGAGAGAGGAGGAAGGTGCCAAAATCTTTTAAACAACCAGATCTTAGGAGAACTCACTATCACAAGAAAAGCACCAAAAGGATGGTGCTCTCATTCATGAGAAACCACTGCCATGATCCAGTTACCTCCCACCAGGCCCTTCCTCAAACATTGGTGGCTACAATTCTACATGAGATTTAGGTGAGGAAACAGATCCAAACAATATCATCCTGCCAATGGCCCCTCCAAATCTCATGTTTTTCTCACATGTCAAAATACAGTCATGCCTTTCCAACAGTCCCCCAAAGACTTAACTTATTCCAGCATTAATGCAAAAGTTCACAGTCCCAAGTCTCATATGAGACAAGGCTAGTCCCTTCCACCTATGTGCTTGCAAAATAAAAGAAAAAAAAGTCAGTTACTTGCAAGATACAATGGAGGGATAGGCATTGGCTAAATAGTCCTGTTCCAAAAGGGAGAAATCAACCAAAAGAAAGAGGATATAGGCTCCATGCAAGTCTGAAACCCAGAAGAGCAGTCATTAAATTTTAAAGCTCCAAAATAACCTCCTTTGACTCCATGCTCCATATCCAGGACATACTGATGCTAGGGGTGGGCTCCCACGTCCTTGGGCAGCTCTACCCCTGTGGCTTTGCAGGGATCAGCCTGTGCAGCTGCTCTCATGGGCTGGTGCTGAGTACCTGTGGCTTTTTCAGGTGCATGGTACAAGCTGTCAGTGGCTCTACTATTCCAGGATCTGGAAGACAGTGGTTATCTTGTCACAGCTTCACTAGGCAGTGTCTCAGTGTGGACTCTGTGTGGGGGATCCAACCTGACATTTCCCCTCCCACTGCCCTAGTAGAGGTTCTCTATGAGGGCTCTGCCCCTGCAGCAGGTTTCTACCTGGACATCTAGGCTTTTCCACACATCCTCTGAAATCTAGTAGTAGACTCCCTAGACTCAGCTCTTGCACTCTATGGACCGTATTTAACTCTATGGACTCTATTTAACACCTTGTAGCAACTGCCAAGGCTTATAGGTTGCACCCTCTGCAGCAGCAGCATGAGTTGTACCTTGGTCCCTTTTGGCCATGGCTGGAGCTGGAAAGGCTTGGATACAGGGATCAGTGTCCTGAGGTTGTACAGGGTGGCGGGGCCCTGGGCTTGGCCCTCCAAACCATCTTTTCCTCTTAAGCCTCTGGTCATGTGATGGGAAGGGCTGCCATGAAGGTCTGTGAAATGGCTTTGAGGCCTTTTCCCCTTTGTCTTGGCTATTAGCATTTGCAATCTTTTTAGTTATGCAAATTTCTGCAGCCTGCTTGAATTCCTCCCATGAAAATGGGCTTTTCTTTTCTAATGCATGACCAAGCTGCAAAGTTTCAAAATTTTATGCTCTGCTTCCCTTTTAAATATATGCTCCAGTTTTTCATCATTGCTTTGCTCACACTTATGAACATAGGCTGTGAGACATGGCCAGGTCATACCTTGAATGCTTTGCTGCTTAGAAATTTATTCCACCAAATACCCTAAATCATCACTCTCAAGTTCAAAGTTTTACAGATCCTTAGGGCAGGTGCACAGTGCCACCAGGTTCGTTGCTAATGCATAACAAAAGTGATCTTTGCTCCACTTCCCAATAAGTTCCTCATCCCCATCTGAGACCTCATCAGCCAGGACTTCATTGTCCATATCACTACAGGCATTTTGGTCACAACAATTTAACAAGTCCCTAAGAATTTCCAAATTTTCCCTCATGTTTGTCTTCTTCTGAGCCCTCCACAGTCTTCCAACATCTGCCCATTATCCAGTTCCAACATTGCTTTGACAGTTTTAGAAATCTCTATAGCAGTGTCCCACTACTTGGTACCAATTTTCTGTATTAGTGTGTTCTCACATTGCTATAAAGAAATACCTGACACTGGGTAATTTATAAAGAAAAAAACTTAATTGGCTCACGGTTCTGCAAGCTGTACAGGTAGCATGATGCTGACATCTGCTTGGCTTCTGGAGAGGCCTCAGGAAACTTTCAATCATGACAGAAGGTAAAGGGGAAGCAGGCACATCTTACATGGCCAGAGCAGGAGCAAGAGAGAGAGGCAGAAACTGCCACACCCTTTTAAACAATCAGTTCTCATAAAAAGTCGCTTTCACAAGAGTAGCAACAAGGGGATAGTGGTAAACCATTCATGAGCAATGTGATGGTTAATACTGAGTGTCAACTTGATTGGATTGAGGGATACAAAGTATTAGCCCTGGATGTGTCTGTGTGGGTGTTGCCAAAAGAGATTAACATTTGATTCAGTGGGCTGGGGAAGGCAGATCCACCCTTAATCTGGTGGGCACAATCTAATCAGCTTCCAGTGAATATAAAGCAGGCAGGAAAACACGAAGAAACGAGAGGGGCGAGCCTCCCAGCCTACATCTTTCTCCCATGCTGGATGCTTCCTGCTCTTGAACATCAGACTCCAAGTTCTTCAATTTTGGGACTCGGACTGGCTCTCCGTGCTCCTCAGCTTGCAGACAGCCTATTCTGAGACCTTGTGATCATGTAAGTTAATATGGAATATATTATATATATGTTATATAGGAGCTGTGCCAAAATGACCACTGTCTTCCAGACCCTGGAATAGTAAAGCCACTGACAGCTTGTATAGTTTTATATATATGTATAGTTATATATATATATATATATATATATATATATATATATATATATATCCTATTAGTTCTATCCCTCTAAGAGAACCCTGACTAATACAAGACACTTCTGCCATAATCCAATTACCTCCCACAGACCGCAACTTCAACACTGAGGGTTATAGTTTCACGAGATTTGGATGAGGACACAGATTCAAACCATATAAACTTTATAGGTGTTTTGACCCTTTTCTCTGGCTGCCTTTAAGAATTTTTCTGTACCATTGACCTTGGATAGTCTGATAACTACATGCCTTGTTCATGTGTGTATTTTTATAATATCTTGAAGGTTTTCTTTAAAATTCTTGTAACTGCACAACTGCTTCTCTAGAGAGATTAGGGAAGTTTTCTTGAATTACTGTTTTTTTTAGATGGCTTACTTTTTATTCTCTCTCAGGAATGTCTATAAGTCATAGGTTTGATCACTTTACATAATTCTATATTTCTCAAAGCTTTGTTTTTAAAATTATTTTTTCTTTATTTTTGTTTGTCTTAATTCAAAAACTGGTCTTCAAGCTCTGAAATTCTTTCTTCTGCTTAGTCTAGTCTACTGTTAAAGCTTTCCACTGTATTTGGAAGTTTCTTAAGTGATTTTTTTTTTTAATTTTGAGAAGTTCTCTTTGTTGTTTTTCCTTTATCATCTCTTCCTTTATTTCCTCAATTGCTTTCATGATGTCTTTGTGTTAATTTTCAACCTTCTCTTGGACGTCATTATACTTCCTTGTAATTCATGCTTTGAATACATCATCTGTCATTTCTGAGTTTTAAATGTTTTTAGGATCTGTTGCTAGAGAGTTAGTATGATTTCTTGGTGTTGTGACTACATTCTGGTTTTTCATGATGCCAGAATTTTTATGCTGCTTCTTTCTCATCTGGAGAAGTTGGCACTTCTTTTTGAATTTATTTTTGCTTGGATGGTCTCTCTCTCTCTCTCTCTCTTTCCCCCTCTCTCTCCCTGTCTCTCTCTCTCCACCCCCCCCCCCCCCACCAACCCTTAATATATATATTCTTCTTTTAGGGAGTGTGACTATAGAGTATGTCGGGTAGAGCCTTTTGTCTTTGCTCCTATAGCTATTTGCACTTCTGTCAGCAGGCTTTTTCTTGGTCTGTGCAGTTTGACCTGCAGGCCAGTAGGTGATGCTTATGCTTAAGAGGCAATAGAGGCAGGAGCCGCTGTGTGTGTATTTGATTTGTGTTTAACTTGAAGTATTTTCTACTTTCCTTAGGTGATGCGCTGCACATTGGAATGCCTAGTACCCGGAGCTTCAGGTTCAGTGTGGTGGGGGGAACACAGCTGAGCAGAGCGTGACTCCCTGACTTCCTCACAGTTTCCTCAGTGACAAGCACAGATGACTGGGGTGGCTGGGGGAGCTCCTGGTGAGATGCACTGAGGTCATTGCATGGGGTGAATGGTTGTTCCACCTCCATGTGCTAGATACGCAGGAATGTGATTAGCTTTTCTATCACACTCCTGTCCCACTGCTTATGATTCAGATTCACACTTTTGTCTACCTTCAGGCTACAGTGTAGCTGAGACGCATGGAAATGCCTGTACTGTAGCATTCTGTGGGAGTGGTTTCAGGATGGAACCTCTTCACTCAGCCCAGTACAGACAGCTTTATGGCTCACCTCTTCTCCAATGTCGTAAGGCTGCTGCTTTGTGCTGAGGAGGGTAGGGGCTCCACCTTTTGACCCATGCACGTGGGCAGCAGTTGTGATGGTATCCGCTAGTTGGGCTGGCCTGACCTCCTGGTGGGTAGTCAGGTGCCAGGAGTGGTGGACCAGGTTAGATAACTTCTTGACTTTCAGGCCCCTAAGTGGCCCACTGGATGGCATATATGAGTCCAGAAGGGGCTAGACCAGGATTATATCAGCCCAGAATTTAGGAGCTGCTGTGATTAAGAGGGATGGATTGGTCTCTGGGTCACTGACAGAACAGTCAGGTTAGGGCAGGGAGAATGCTCAGGCAGTGGAAGTCAGAGGGAAGATCACAGGCCTTAGAGGCTGGGCTGCAGGTGAAATGGTCAGGAAAGAGCAGGATGGCTGTACTGTGAGCTTCTTACTGGGAAAGTTAGGACCCCATGGCTGGGGCAGTGAAAACTGGCAGCTGCGGGGCATATGGCCTGCTTGCAGTTTCCTGCCATAGCAGTGGCACTGGGTTTCACCATTGGGAGCATGTAAAGTTGCCTGGCCTACCCATACCCTCCCTGGTCCTAGGGTGGCAGGGGTGGACAGAGGCAGGAGTGACATATGCCCAGGATGGCCTATCAGTGGCCCTGGAAGTTCAGCTATAGCCACAGTCTTCAGATGGGGACAGGGTGGGTGCATTGGGAGACTGTTACTGTGTAAGTAAGCTCCACCTGGAAAAGAGCTACAAAGGCAAGAGGTCACGCAGTGTGCAGTCTGCCTTCTTCTCCACACTGTGGCTGCAGGTTCTGTCTTACACGCATGCAAAAATGCCCCACCTCCTCATTACATTCCTAGCCTGTGGTTGGCAGTGGCAGAGGCAGGCGTGGTAGCACTTAGGCTCTCAGAGGAATGCTGAGCTGTGGTCACAGTGTTCAACTTGGGGAAGGGGAGCTGCACTGCACCACAAGGTTGTCACTGAAGCAGGCAAGCCCTGCATGGGAAGAAGCCACAGAGGTGAGGGATCATGCATTGCATAGTCTGCCCATGCCTCTGTGCCCTGATTTTGGTATCTACTTTGACAGTGCCTAAAAGTGCCCTGCCTCCATGTTCCCTGCCTGGCCCATGGATAGCAGAGGCAAAGGCAGCAGTGTCAGAGGCTGCAGAGAGCATATTACCAGCCTCTGGGAGTTAAGCTTCAGTTGCAGTGTTCAGGTGGGGATGGGGCTGGTGTGCTGGAGGCCTGTCTCCAAAGCAGACTAACCCAATTTGGTGGGGTTCAATGGAGGTGAAGGGTCATGTAATGTGTCATCCGCCTGCTGCTTTGTACAATAGGAGTGGCATCTGTCCTGAGGGTAGTATCTGTCCTGGGAGTGTGCAAAAGTGCCTGGCCTCTCTCCCTGGCGAGGCGGTGGTGGCTGGCATGGAGCTGCTTGGGTATCAAAAGCTTGTTGATTCCATGTGGGCTTGAGCAGTACCTTTGCTCAGTCTCCAGGCAGCTCCCCATTTCAATCTGGAGACCCGCTGGGGGAGAGGGGTTAAAAAGGACTCTCCTGTCATGAGGGTTGTAAAGGTCCATGATGGAAGTGTGGAACCCCTTGGGTCTCTCACTCACTCACCCCTTCCGTATGTTAGGAAGCCTCTCCCAGGTTCACATCAGTACTGGCTCTTCAGGCTGCGTAGCTTCACTCTGCTCTGCTTTCTATGGTTCCCAATGCTTCCCTGGTGAATTTAAGGATACTCCCTTAGACAATCCACTGCAAGTGCCAATATGTACTTACTATTTTAATTCTTCTCCATGATATAGGCACTCACTAGCTGCTTCTAGTCAGCCATCTTGAACAGGGATAGCTTCTCCCATATTTAGTGTGAGACCTGCTCCAGCTTCTGGAGGTAAATTTAACTCACATGAGTATGGTGTACCTGCTTTCACTGGGTCCTCCCGGAGTTTTAACTATCAGACTTGTACACACAAAGCCTTAAGCAATTTATCAATTATAGCTTGTGTTTTCCTACTCCATCACTGTTACCTGTTGTGGTTTCTGCTTATGAGTTTCTTCTCCAATAAGCTCTGACTCTTAGTAAGCCTATCTGCCTCTCCAATCTTGGGAGCAATGGTTTTCCCTGTGTCCTTGCATTTCTTATTTATCCAGAAGAGTAGTACATTTTTCAGGCTTCTTAATTTTTTTCCTTGCTAGAAAGAAGTGGCATCTTCCAAGCTCCTTACATGCAGAACTGGAAAACAAAAGCCCTATTTTCAGAATTGTCATGCACAGAATATGTTCTTTAATTTCATTTTCACATGTCAAAATCTAATGTTAATTGTTATAAGAAATATTAGTTAATGAAATATTTGTTTTATATTTTCTCCAGACTTTTTCATTTCATATAAATATTATCATATATGTGGTCTTTGTGACTGCCTTCTTTTGCCTAACATTACGTTTTCAAAATTTATCTAGTATGTATCAGTATGCTATTCCCTTTTATGGTTAAATAATATTCCACCGTATGCCTACATAACAGTCTGTTTATCTGATCATCTTTTGTATGAATATTTGATTTCTTTCCACTTTTGGGCTATTATTTATAATACTGATGTGAACACTCATGTAAAACATTTTCAGTGGACACAAGTTTTTATTTCTCTTGAGTATATATCTAAAGTGGAATGCAGAATAGGTGGGTTATGTGGTAAGTATATGTAAAATTTAGAATAACTTTCAAAGTGTTTTACAAAGTACCTGCTACATTTTACATTTTTACAACCAATATGTGAGAGTTCTGATTTTTCCACATCTTCACCAACACTTGTTTTTATGTTTTTTTTTTTAAATTATAGGCTTCCTCTATGAAATGGTTACTCATCTTTGTTTTCGGTTTCATTTCCCTGATGACTAACAATATTGGATATCTTTTTTATGTGTGAATTGGTCATTTTATATACAATTTGAAGAAATGTTTATTAATGTTTTTGCCTGTATTATTTGTCTTTTTATTATTCAGTTGTATGAGTTCTCCAAATAATCTTGACGCAAGTCTCTCATCAGATTCATGATCTGCAAATATTGTCTTCCATTCTGTGTGTAAACATCTTTATAATCTCAACTTTATTTTGACTAATGTCTAAAATGGCTATCAATGTAAGACATAAGCATTTGCCTTGTCTCAATGTGCCTCCAAGAATTTGTATCTTGAAACTAAATTACCAACATGGTAGTATTAAGAGGTGCGGCCATTAGGAAGTGATGAAATTGAGGGAGGAAGTCTTCAGGGATTGGATTGGGGCTTTATAAAAAAGGCTTGAGGAATGGGTTCACTATCCTCTGCTTCTCTGCCATATGATAATACAATGTTCATCCCCTTGCTGTCCTTCCTATCCCTTCCATCATGTGAGGATATCTAGATGATGCCATGTGTAAGGAACAGGCCTTTACTAGAAACCAAATATACCAGTGTCTGGAGATTGGACTTTTCAGCTTCCAGAACTGTGAGGAAACAAATTTCTGTTCTTTATAAATTATCTAGTCTCAGGTGTTTTGTTATAGCAGCATGAACCGACAAGATAATATTCTTACACAAATTAATATAAATCTAGATGGGTGGGACACATGAGAACAATTTACCAATAAGTAGTTTTAAATAAAATACTGAGAAAATGAATTCTTCAGTTAAATAAAAATAACATACAAAGATCTATGTGTGTGTGTATATATAATATCTATCCATATCTATATAATCTTGATTTTACATATACACAAGGAAAATATGTTGTAAGATTCCATATGGAGTTGCATTTCAAGAAAATATTTAGTTTAAGCTAAGTTATAAAGAGCAATGTTAGATAACATACACATCTTATAATAGTCTGTAATGGTATTTCCTTTCATTACAGATAAAACTTGAAATTTGAGAAAGTATTATTTCAAAATGTGAAATATGCTAATGTGAAGGTGCCTGAATGAATTGTTCAAGAGCTGTCTTATTGGAAAAATAAATGTAACTACATCTTTATTAACTTAAGCATAGTATACTGAAATTTGCTTACAGCAGTCAACTCTGAGCAATTCTTCTGGCCAAAATGCAGTGACAATGCTTTACTTCTATTATCTGAGATTGAAACAAATTCTGCCCATAATTTCTGGGTGATAAAAAGCTAAGAGTTTTAAAATTAAGCAGATTTCATTTGACAACTGAGCTAAAATTTTGAGTCAGCCCTAAACTCCAATCTGCTATGTCCTTTTCACTTTTGGTGACCTTTTACTATGCTTTAACTTTAGTGCCTTAACTTGGTAAAATTGAAAGAAGAACAAAATAAATGTTGTGAGAGAAACTTGATTTCTCTATATTATAATTTGATTGTAAAATAATCACATTAATGATTCTAAGTCCCTTAATAATTGACTTACTAGCAGATATATTATCAAGCAAACACTAGTTAATGTTACTTTGTCAGATATAATTACAATGCAAATTAAACATACACAATGCATGCCCTCAAGGAATTTATATACCACGACAGACATAATCACAAAGATACACATAAATGTATATACATCATATGACCAAATTTATATTTTTGTGTTGAAATTATTAGTAATATAATAAACATACAAATCAAGTATTATTTCTATAATGTATAAGGTTGTTACTTTTAACTAGCATAGTACCCATGTTATTTTTATTTTGAGACACATGTATCATATATTACTGAAGTATAACAACATGAAACAGAGGACAGAACTATATTTTTGATACATTATATTCATAGCTTAAATGTAGCTTATTTTTGGGATGTATGCTTATTTATTTGAGAATCTATCTTTTTGTTCCAAGAAAGTAGTTTTGGACTCATGCTACAGCTCATCAATTAATTGCATGAATGTGATATGCAGTTTTTGTGCGCCTTAAAATTTAAATTATGCAGTATATATGTCAAATGATCTGCAAACTAAATATGCAAGCAATATTACATATAATTTAGGACAACTATAAGACACTTTTTATAGTGTGTTTTTTTAATATAAACTCTGTTAACAGGACTAACTTTAAAAATACCTAATCTTTGCTCTTCACAAAAATAATGTCAATTATGTCCTGTCCATGTCCAAATTCTATATATCACGTGTCAGAAGAAAATTCAATATTCTTTAAAAAGTTACCTATAGATTGTGTCTATTATACACAAACAACTTTTGATGTCTGAATATTTTATTGCTATAATAATTGTGGATGCTTTTTAATACATTAAAATAAAATGTTTTAATATTAATTTAATGTTAATATTAATGAAATGTTTTAATATTAATATTAATATTAATAAAATGTTTTAGTATTGATTTAATGTATTAATAATACATTAACAAAACAAAGATGCCTATGTTTGCCACTTCTATTCAACAAAGTAATGGAAGTTTTAGCTAGAACAATTAGGCCAAAAAAAGAAAAAAGAAGAAATAAAAGACATCCAAGTTGGAAAAGACAAAGTAACTATTTTGTATTGAAGATGACATAATCCATATATAGATAACCCTAAAGATTCCCAAAAAAACTCTTAGAACTAATCAATTTAGCAAAATTGCAAGATAAAAAAATAACCCACAAATATCAGTGGCTATTCTATATACTACCAACAAAAAATCTGAGAAGAAAATCAAGACAACACGTCCATTTAAAATAGCATCAGAAATAGTAAAACTACTTAGGAATAAACTTTAAAATAAGAGGTGAAAAACTTGTACACTCAAAACTAAAAATATTGCTGAATAAAATTGAAAAAGACACAAATAAATAGGAAGATATCTTGTGTTCATGGATTTAAAGACTTCATATTGTTAAGATGTTGCAGTACTACCCAAAGAAATGTAAGAATTAAATGAAATCCTTTTCAAAATCCCAGTAAAGATTTTGCAGAAATAGAAATGTACATCTTAAAATTAATATGAAATTTCAAGGGATACCAAACAGCTAAAGCAATATTGAAAGAAAATTGGAGCTCTTATACTTTCTGATAGCAAATATATTACAAAACTAAAGCAATCAAAACAGTCTGGGACTGGCATAAAGAAAGATATATAGATCAATAGAATTGAACAGAGATTATAGAAAAAAATTGCATAATGTTCTTATGATTTTTGGCAGGGATGCCAAGACCCATTCAATGGGGAAAAAAATGTTTTCAACAGATGTTGAGAAAACTGAGTATCTACATAAAAAAGAATAATAAAGTAGGGCCCTTACTTTATATTTAAAAAAATTTAAAAAGGTAAGAAAAACATATATTTAAACACTAAAACTATAAAACTTTAGAAGAACATATAAGGACATGATTTGTGACATTGGATTTGGTAATGATATCTTGAATGGCACATCAAAAGCATAGTAAACAAAAGGAAAAAAGGATGAATTAGGTTACATCAAAATTAAGTTTTTTGGCATCAAAGGGTACTATCAACAGAAGGAAAAGTCAATCCAGAGAATGGGAGAAAATATTTGCAAATTATATATAACATGTTAGTATCCAGAATATGTAAAGAACACCTAGAATTCAACAACTTAAAAACAACAACAACAAAAAAAACAAATTATAAAATGGGTAAAAGGCTTGAATAGACATTGAAGATACAAATGGCCAATAAGCACATAACATGTTTGATATCACTAATTATTAGGGAAATGCACATAAAAACCATAATGAGATCACACATTACACCCATTATAATGATTATCTCCAAAACAAAAAAGAAAGAAAAAAAACCAAAAAACAGAAAATACGTGTTGGTGAGAATGTGGAGAAATTGGAATATTTGTGCACTGCCATTAGAAATGTAATGTATTGCAGCTGCTGCAAAACACAGTTTGGTAGTTCTTCAAAAAATTAAGTATAGAATTACCATATGATGTAGTAATTCCACTTCTGGGTATATCAGCAAAAGAGTTGAAATCATGGACTCAATCAGATATTTGTACACCCATGTTCATAGCAGCAGTATTTTCAAGAGTCAAAAGGTGGAAACAACCCAAGTGTCCATTCACAGACTAATGAATACACAAAATGTGGTATATACGGTAGTTTCTCAGTATCTATGGGGGATTGGTTTTAGGGACTTTTGTGGATACCAAAATCCACTTATGGATGCCTAAGTCCCTAATATAAAATGATGTAGTATTTGCATTTAACATATGCACATGCTCTTTTGTATTTTTAATCATCTCTAGATTACTTATAATTCCCCATACAATGTAAGTGCAATGTAAATAGTTGTTATATTCTACTGTTTAGAAAATAATGTCAAGGAAAAAATATTTTTACATGCTCAGTACAGAGGCATTTATCCATTTTTTCAAAATATTCTTGATCTATGGCAATTTGAACCTATGGATGCAGAACCCAAAAATATGGAGGGTCTAATATATGAACAATGCAATATTATTCAGCCTTGAAGAGGAAGACAGTTCTGACACATGCTACAACATGGATAAATCTTAAATACATTGCGTAAGACTTAGTGAGATAAGCTAGTCATAAAAGGACAAATACACTTATATTTGGTATAGAAGTACTAAAGTAGTCAAATTCATACAGATAGAAAGTAGAATGGTAGTTGCCAGGGGATGGGTGTAGGAGAAATGGGTAATTATTGTTTAATAGGTAAATTCTCAGTTTTTGAATATAAAAAGTTCTAGAGGTAGATGGTGGTGATGTTTCCACAACAATGTACGTTAACAAGATTTCCATTAACAATATAGTTAATGCCACTGAACTGTACACTTAAAAATGGTTAGAATGGGAAATTTTATATTAGCATATCTCACTACAATTTTTAAAAAGTAAATGACAAAAAATAAAATAAACATTGATTTCATGAAACAAATTATTGGTTAAGAAAATTAGAGTTGATTTACAACATATTTATAGGTCAGGTTCTCAGATAAATGTACATATAGGCAGTTCTAATATATTAACATTTCCTTTCTCATTAATAGTCATTTATTGTTTATTGAGGCTACTTCTAAATATCAGGGCCCAAATACACTAGTAGTAATACTAATTCTTCATTTCTTTTACTATTTTACTAAGGGCCAGTCACTCTCTGAAATGCTTAAAAGTACTAATCCTAATTATTTTTCAAAAGTAACCTGGGTAAGTATTATTATTATTTCTATTTTACAAATGAAGAAACTCAGGCAGAGAAAAGATAAATCATTTAAACACAGTCACACAGAGCGTAAATGGATTGACGATTTAAGACCAATGACTCTGCAGAACCTTTCCTCTTAACAACTCTGATATCTTATGTAGTCCTTTCATCATCCACATTGATAGGTACACTTACACTTCTTTTCCAAATAAACTGAGGTATTGGAGTTTAAATAACTTGTCTGAAATCATACATGTTCAGGATCTATATTCATGCGTATTTGACTCTGAAAACCTGGCTCTTAAATTACCAACAATTTAAATTACCAACAATTCTCCAACTTGCAAAGAGTTTATTTATGTCTCACACAGCCCCAGGATGAACTCAAGACCACAGAATATCACAGTTTTTAACCAGAGTATTGACCACAATGAAAATAAAGAAAAAATTTGAAAAATAAACGGTAGCGGTAGATCTCATAAGTAAATCAAATAATTTGTTCCTTAAATATAGATAGATACATCACTACCATGCCTAAAAATTTGAAAAAAGAAGAAAGCACAAAATACGCACATGAAAAATATAAATGGGGAAGTGAACACTGATACAGAAGAAGAAAAAAATGATATAATAACATAATTAATTCAAGTTTATAAAAATAATATCAAAGATGATATAGATGAAATACCTGATTTTTTGGGAAATATAAAATGACAAAATTGTTTCTTTAAAAAGCTAGAAAATCTAAACAGACAAATTGTCATTGGAGAAAACAGTTTTGAAAAAGTAGTCAAAGAACTACTTAAAACTTATTAGTCATGGAATGTCTTTGTAGGTCAATTATCTTAAATCTTTAGAATACAGATGAATCCAGTATTATTTTAACTCTTTCTGTGATGGGCTGAATTGTGTGCCCCCAATATTCAGATGTTAAATCTCTAACACGCCATATCTCAGAATGTGACTATTCAGATGTAGCCCCTAAAGATGTAATTAAGTCAAAATGAGGCCACTTGTGTGAAGCCTAATTTAATCTGACCAGTGTTCTTATAAGAAGAGAAAATTTGCACACACAGAGTGACAGCAAGAACATGTGGGCACAGATGAAAGATCATGTGAGGACACAGCAAGATGACAGCCATTGTCAGCCAAGGAGTGAGGCCTCAGAAAAAAGTAAACTTGTAGATTCCTTGATCTTATACTTCTATCCCTCTAGAACTGTGAGAAATAAATTTATCTTGTTTAATCCATCCAACTCTTTGGTATGTTGTTATTGATACAGCTCTGATGAGTGGAGGAACACCAGGGCTCTTGTTTCATGGGAATTGGGTAAAATGACATGGACACATGTGGAGTGGTTTTAAGGAGTGGAGAGTTGTTTAATAGGCAAGAAAGAAGGGAGAAGAAAGAAGGAAGAAGCTCCCCTGTACAGACAGAGGGAGGGGTTCCCAAAGCCAAGAGAGGAGACCCCATGTGCCACAGAAAAGTGGCTACTTATATGAGTAGGCTGGAGGAGGTGGTGTCTGATTTGCATAGGGCTCAGGGGATTGGTTTGACCAGGCATGTCATTCACATAGCCCATGAAAAAACTGGCCCTCCCACCCTAGCCTTTTATTATGCAAATGCAGTGCGCCATGATGTTCTACACATGGGGATATGTTGGGGAGGCCGTGTTGCCAGACACATGTTGGGGCAAGGGCAAGAAGGCGGCAGGAATTGCCATGTTTGGGCAGACCCAGTTTCTAATGGCCAGCATTTGCATATCAAAGGTGGCCAGCCTGACTCTAAGAACCAGTGCTTTCCTGCTAGACAAGAAACATTTCTGGAGCTGCTTTAAAAGAAACAACAACTTCCCAAGGACCTCTTTTCCTCTCTATCTGCCTAAGATAATTTCTTAATAACTCCTATAACATTATGACAACCTTAGCAAACTAACACAGTTGCAGAACACGAATTAAAAAAATCGCAAACATTTATTTTAAAGCTCACATAATATTGATAGCAAAACTGACATAGCAAATAGATAAAAAAGAAAAATGCAGTACAATTTCAGATGCAAAACCTTAAATAAAATATCAGCTAGAAAAGGTTTAGTCTTAGGTAAATATTTAACATACTTTATCATACTAATCAAAAGCCAGTAGATAAAAATCATAAAATGAGAAGAGTGATATTCAGCAAGATGGAGAATTAGGAGCTGGTGCACTCATATCTCCTTATGACAACAATAATTTTGCAGGTATCCATGGACAAAAGTGCATTTGTGGAAACATTAGGACTGAGGTAGGAGGTTGTGAAACTCTGGTGGCACCTAGGACCTAGGAATGCCTTTTTAAGAGGCAAGACCCATGCATGCCCCAGTGCTAGACTCAAAAACCATTGTCCTGGTGCCAAACCTGGAAACAGCCTTATTTCCCTGTGGACTTGTCTACAGCACTATTTTACCTTGTTTCTGTGACCAAAACTATCTGCCAAAGGCCCAGGAGGAGTCATGCACACTAGTGTCACTGGGGAAGGCCTTCTGACTTCAGTTCCACGGTAGATACTAAAATGGTTTGCAAACTTAGCCCCAGTCCTTCTTACTGTAGTTTGAGAGCAGCTCTGCCTGAAGGAATACATGCCTGTCCATGCCCCTGTAGCCAGGCCAGCTGGCATTGGCCCCACAGCAGATCCTGAGATAGTTCTGCAACTCAGCCCAGCCCCTCTAAGTTGCGGTTTGAGAGCAGTTCTTTCTACACTGCGGAGGGACCTAGAGAAAAATTCACTCAGCATTGCCTCTGTCGGCAAGCCTACTGACCTTGGCCCCACTGTGAATCTTAAAACAGCCCTGTAAATTGACTCCAGCTCATGTCAGCTATGGTCTGAGAACAGTCCTGCTTTCCCAGGAAGCCACTAGAATACAAATCCACTTCTGACACCAATGGTAGGCTTATAGGCCTCAGTCATGGCTACAGACTTGAACCAGTCCTGGACTCAGTTCAAAGCCCTTCCAGCCATGGTCTAGGGTCGGTATTATCTGTCTGAGGATTCTCAGAATTACCCAGCATAAGCCCTCCCAGAGACCTAGAAGAAGCAGTACCCATTCATCACCTGGAAACAGGAAAACCATCTGCAGATTTTGAAGTAGATCCTTATTCCAGTGCCAGATCTGCTGACCAAAGACCTGGAGTCAGTCCAGTCCACTCAAAAAACATATAGGATTCATACTCCCTAGAGCCCCTGGTAACAGGCCTACTAAGTGCAAATTCCACTGCAAAACCAGCAGCAGTCACATGACCTGGTTCAAACACCACTTGGCCACAATCTTGGAGATAATCCAATAAGCACAGGAAATCAACAGGAGAAGGTCTTCATCTGCCAAAAGTAGTCCGTAAATACTGAAAGAAGTGTTTGCTCATTCAAATGCATAGAACAAATGGACCTAAGAGATATATATGGAACATTTTATCCAATAGCAGTAGCACAAATTTTTTTCTCAAGTATATATGGAATCTTCATCAGAATATATCATATTTTAGGCCACAAAACAACCTTTAACAAATTTAAGAATATTGTAATCATATCACATATCTTTTATGACCACTATGTTATAAAACTAGAAATCACCAATAGCAGAAATGTTGTAAAATTCAGAAATGTGTGAAAATTAAACAACTTGGTCCTAAACAACTGAGGGCCAAAAAATAAATTAAAAGCAAGTTTAAAACCATTATAAGAACACCAAAAATGGAAACATAACATACAAAAACTTAAAAGATTCAGCATAAGCAGTTCTAAGAGTAAAGTTTATAGCAATAAATGCCTTCATTAAGAAAAAAAGATCTCAAATAACAGTCAAATTTTGCACCTCAAGAAAAAGAAGAACTTAGCTAAAAGTCAGGATAAAGAAGAAAATGTAAACATCAGAACAAAAATAAAATAGACACAAGAAAGACAATAGAAAAGATCAAGAAAACCAAGAGTTGCTTTTTTGAAAAGAAGAAATCTGACAAACCTTTAGGTAGACTAACTGTATTAGTTCATTATTGCATTGCTACAAAGAAATACCTGAGACTTGGTAATTTATAAAGGCAATACAATGAAATTATAGGCAATCCAATTTCTGGTTACATGCCCAAAAGAAATGAAATTAGTATGTCAAAGTGATATCTGGATTCCCATGTTCATTGAGCTTTATTCACAGCGGCTAAGTTATGGAATCCATCCAAGTGTTCACTGAAGGATAAATGGATACAGAAAACGTTTATATATATATATATATATATATATATATAATATTTCATATATATAATTTTTTTTGAGATGGGGTCTTGCTCTTTCACCCAGGCTGGAGTGCAATGGCACGATCTTGACTCACTGCAACCTCCACCTCCCAGGTTCAAGAGATTCTCCTGCCTCAGCCTCTCAAGTAGCTCGGATTACAGGTGTGCACCACCACGCACAGCTAATTTTTTGTATTTTTAGTAGAGACAGGGTTTCACCATGTTGGCCAGGCTGGTCTTGAACTCCTGACCTTGTGATCTGCCCACCTCAGCCTCCCAAAGTGCTGGGATTACAGGCATGAGCCACCGCACCCCGCATATAATTTCATATATATATATGTGTGTGTGTGTTTATCACAATGTGTATGTATACAAACAATAAATATTATTCAGCTTAAAACAGGAAAAAGACGTTTCATTTCTGACAGCATGGAGATATTATTGCTAAGTGCAACATGCTAGACACAGAAGAACCAATACTGTATGATCTCATTTACATGTGGAATCTAAAAAAGTGAAACACTTAGAGAGTGGAACTGTGTTTCCCAGGTGCTTGGGGTGGGGAAAATGTGGAGATATTGGTCAAATGGCACAAACTTCCAGTTATAAAATAAACAACTTCTAAGAATCTAATGTACAGCATGGGTGGTGAAGGATATTGTAATTAATTTCATTATGATAATCATTATTCAATATATACATATATCAGATTATCACACTGTACACCTTGAATATATAGAATCTTCATTTGTCAATTAAATGTTTTTTTAAATTTAAAAACTTACAAACCCAAAAACACACAATGTTCTTAAAAAATATCTGAAGATATTTTACAAAAGTCAAATTACAATGTAGTTCCAATTATGTTTTTCAAGATGGCTAACTCGGGCCATCTAATGCCTCTTCTCCTCAGAAAGAAAATCAAATTTACTGGTGAATGGACAAGTTTCAAATGGAAAACTGAGAGAAGAGACCCAGGGCCTATTGCAGAGCCTACAGAAAGAAGCCCAGATGCAGAAAAGGGAAGCAGCAAGAGTCTAGCCGAGATCAACCCCTGGGGAACTCAGAGCCCCATGGAAAGGTTCTGTGGGAGTGCTTCTTTGCTCCCCTCACCCCTGTGACAATCTGCTGACTGCCAAACTGTTGGGGAGCCCCTCTGCCTTTGTAACCTAGGGCAACGCTATTGACGGTAATTTAAAAACTTCCCAGTAAAAGAGAACTGGGCAGCCAGTTCATGCAGGTATTGCCTGTACTCCCCTCACACCTGCACTGAGATGTCAGATGCCAGACTGGTTGTGCACACATGGCAAGCCACTGCCATGCCTGGGGATTCTCTGCCCTTTAGTTGTCACAACACTAGACCTCCCACAAACATATCCCACAACCTGCTATGACACTGGCAAGTATAGGGGACTGGCAGATTCCTAGGATGCTGCAGGAATCTGTGAGATTTAACCCTCAGTGGATGCAGCAGTGATTCTTCCCACTAAGGGCTGCCTTGTGTGCACTCAGAGGAAGAGTTTGCATTTTTCACGGTGGCTCTACCTCTGCTGCAGGTGAGCCCACACCTCTTGGGTGTACTCAGAGTGTGGGACCTAACTCTCTCTTCCTACACAGAACAGCAGCATGCCAGAAAAAGAGGACAGCCAAGTCACAGAATTGCCTACCCTGGACTAGGGGAAGAGGCTCTACCCTGAGCCCATTTGGGTAGTAGCCATCAGAGGCATTTATCTGCAGACTGCAGCAATATTGCAGCCAGGAACTAAAGGAAACAGTCTTTACAAACTGAAGATAATGAGCCCTGAAAATGGAAGTGATAAGGAAGCAGATCATGTTCCCACCAGCTCAGAACAAGGAGATCCTGCTCCTCTCTGCCCCTTCCTCCAAGATCTCAGCTCACCCAACATGATCTTTTCTCACCACCCTACCCTGGGCGAGCTGGCTCTTATTCTTAAGCACCACATACTGGACCAGAGGCTGATCTGCACTACCAAATAAAATGGCTGCCAGAATGGCTTAGTACTGGTACATGAGATAAGTTTCCTGAGTCTTCCACTCCCTCAGCAGTGCATGAAGTACTGTGTCAACTCATATGCCCAGTACATTGCTACAACAAGCAGGAGCTGAGAAAGTCTCCATACAGAATCTATCCACAGCAAAAGAACACAAACAGATCTTTGGCCCCTTGAAAGCATCCAGAAGTGAAGCAAAATGATTATACAAAACATACGCAACAGTCATACTCTCAAGAGAAAAAATAAAAAGAAATAAAATACAAAGTTCCATCCAAATGATAGCAAATTGAAAAATAAGAAGTGACACATTCCTCACATGAGAAGAAGAAATCAGCACAAGAACTCTAGCATTACAAAAAGCCAGAGTGTCCTGACACCTCCAAAGAATTGCACTAGCTCTCTAGCAATGGATAATAACCAAATTGAAAAGTCTGAAACGACAGATCAAAAAATCAAAATACAAACTGCAAATAAACATCATGAGATCCAAGACAAAGTACAAAACCTAAACAAAGATGCCAGAACAACAATTCAGGATATAAAATATGAGATAGCTATATTAACAAAAAAAATAGATCTTCAAGAATTGAACTATTGTTATTATACTTTAAGTACTTGGATACATGTGCAGAACGTGCAGGTTTGTTACATAGGTATACACCTGCAATGGTGGTTTGCTGCACCCTTCAAACTGTCATCTACATTAGGTATTTCTCCGAATACTATCCTCCCTCTAAACCCCCACCCCCAGACAGGCACTGGTGTGTGATGTTTCCCTCCCTGTGTCAATGTGTTCTCATTGTTCAACTCCCACTTATGAGTGAGAACATACAGTGTTTGGTTTTCTGTTCCTGTGTTAGTTTGCTGAGAATGATGGTTTCCAGCTTCATCCATGTCCCTGCAAAAGACATGAACTCATCCTCTTTTATGGCAGCATAGTATTCCATGGTGTATATGTGCCACATTTTCTTTATCCCAGCTATCATTGATGGGCATTTGAGTTGGTTCCAAGTCTTCACTATTGTGAATAGTGCTGCAACAAAAACACATGTGCATGTGTCTTTATAGTAGAATGATTTATAATCCTTTGAGTATATATCCAGTAAGGGGATTGCTAGGTCAAATGGTATTTCTGGTTCTAGATCCTTGAGGAATCACCACACTGTTTTCCACAATGGTTGAACTAATTTAGACTCCACCAACAGTGAAAAAGCGTTCCTATTTCTCCACATCCTCTCCAGCATCTGTTTTTTCCTGACTTTTTAATGATTGCCATCCTTACTGGCATGAGATGGTATCTCATTGTGGTTTTGATTTGCATTTCTCTAATGACCAGAGATGATGAGCTTTTTTTCATATGCTTGTTGGCCGCATAAATGTCTTCTTTTAAGAAGTGTCTGTTAATATCCTTTGCCCACTTTTTGATAGAGTTGTCTTTTTTTTTTTTTTTTTTTTGTAAATTTGTTTAAGTTCCTTGTGGATTCTGGATATTAGTCCTTTGTCAGATGGATAGATTGCAACAATATTCTCCCATTCTGTAGGTTGCCTGTTCACTCTGATGATAGTTTCTTTTGCTGTGCAGAAGCTCTTTAGTTTAATTAGATCCCATTTGTTAATTTTGGCTTTTGTTGCCATTGCTTTTGGTGTTTTAGTCATGAAGTCTTTGCCCATGCCTATGTCCTGAATAGTATTGCCTAGGTTTTCTTCTAGAGTTTTTATGGTTTTAGGTATTTTTTTAAATTAATTAATTAATTTGTTTTTATTTTTGAGATGGAGTTTTATGCTCATCACCCAGGCTGAAATGCAATGGCACGACCTCAGCTCACTGCAACCTCTGCCTCCTGGGTTCAAGCAATTCTCTGGCCTCAGCCTCCCAAGTAGCCAGGACTACAGGCACCCGCTACCATGCATGGCTAATTTTTTTGTTTTTTTTAAATTGTATTTTTAGTAGAGGTGGGGTTTCCCCACGTTGGCCAGGCTGGTGTTGAACTCCTGACCTCAGGTGATCCATCCACCTTGGCCTCCCTAAGTGCTGGGATTACAGGTGTGAGCCACCGCGCCCAGCCTGGTTTTAGGTCTTATGTTTAAGTCTTTAATCCATCTTGAGTTAATTTTTGTATAAGGTGTAAGAAAGGGGTTCAGTTTCGGTTTTCTGCATATGGCTAGCCAGTTTTCTCAACACCATTTATTAAATAGGGAATCCTTTCCCCATTGCTTGTTTTTGTCAGGTTTGTCAAACATGAGATGGTTGTAGATGTGTGGCATTATTTCTGAGGCCTCTGTTCTGTTCCGTTGGTCTACATATCTGTTTTGGTACCAGTACCATGCTGTTTTTGTTACTGTAGCCTTGTAGTGTAGTTTGAACTCAGGTAGCATGATGCCTCCAGCTTTGTTCTTTTTTCTCAGGATTGTCTTGGCTATACAAGGTCTTTTTTGGGTTCCATATGAAATTTAAAGTAGTTTTTTCTAATGAAGAAAGTCAATGGTAGCTTGATGGGGATGGCATTGAATCTATAAATTACTTTGTGCAGTACGGCCATTTTCACTATATTGATTCTTCCTATTCATGAATATGGAATGTTTTTCCATTTTTTTGTGTCCTTTCTTATTTCCTTGAGCAGTGGTTTGTAGTTCCCTTGAAGAGGTACTTCACATCCCTTTTAAGTTGTATTCCTAGGTATTTTATTCTCCGTAGCAATTGTGAATGGGAATGCACTCCAGATTTGGCTCCATGTTTGTCTATTTTGGGTGTATAGGAATGCTTGTGATTTTTGCACATTGATTTTGTATCCTGAGACTTTGCTGAAGTTGTTTATCAGCTTAAGGAGATATTGGGCTGAGAAGATGGGGTTTTCTAAATATCCAATCATGTCATCTGCAAACAGGAACAATTTGACTTCCTATCTTCCTATTCGAATACCCTTTATTTCTTTCTCTTGCCTGACTGCCCTGACCAGAACTTCCAATACTGTGTTGAATAGGAGTAGTGAGAGAGGGCTTCCTTGTCTTATGCTGGTTTTCAAAGGGAATGCTTCCAGCTTTTGCCCATTCAGTATGATATTGGCTGTGGGTTTATCATAAATAGCTCTTATTATTTTGAGATACATTCCATCAATACCTCGTTTATTGAGAGTTTTTAGCATGAAGGGGTGTTGAATTTTATCAATGGCCTTTTCTGCATCTATTGAGATAATCATGTGGTTTTGGTCATTGGTTCTGTTTATGTGAGGGATTACGTTTATTGATTTGCATATGTTGAACCAGCCTTGCATCTCAGGAATGAAGCTGACATGATCATGATGGATAAGCTTTTTGATTTGCTGCTGGATTTGGTTTGCCAGTATTTTATTGAGGATCTTCACATTGATGTTCATCAGGGATATTGGCCTGAAATTTTCTTTTTTGTTGTGTCTCTGCCAGGTTTTGGTATCAGGATGATGCTGGCCTCATAAAATGAGTTAGGGAGGAGTCCTTCTTTCTCTATTTTTTGGAATAGTTTCAGAAGGAATGGTACCAGCTCCTCTTTGTACCTCTGGTAGAATTTGGCTGTGAATCTGTCTGGTCCTGGGCTTTTTTTGATTGGTAGGCTATTATATTACTCCCTCAATTTCATAACTGGTTATTGGTCTATTCAGGGATTTGAGTTCTTCCTGGTTTAGTCTTGGGAGGATGTATGCATCTAGGAATTTATCCATTTCTTCTAGATCCTCTAGTTTATTTGTATAGAGGTGTTTATAGTATTCTCTGATGGTAGTTTGTATTTCTGTGGGATCAGTGGTGAGATCCCCTTTATTATTTTTTATTTTGTCTATTTGATTCTTCCCTCTTTTCTTCTTTATTAGTCTGGTTAGTAGTCTATCTATTTTGTTAATCTTTTCAAAACCAGCTCCTGGATTCATTGATTTTTTTGAAGCGTTTTTCTTTTCTCTATCTCCTTCAGTTCTCCTCTGATCTTAATTATTTCGTGTCTTCTCCTAGCTTTTGAATTTGTTTGCTCTTCTTCTCTACTTCTTTTAATTGTGATGTTAGGGTTTTGACTTTAGATCTTTCCCGCTTTCTCTTGTGGGCATTTAGTGCTATAAATTTCCCTCTAAATAGTGCTTTAGATGTGTCCAAAGTTTCTGGTATGTTGTGTCTTTGTTCTCATTGGTTTCAGAGAACTTATTTATTTCTGCCTTAATTTAGTTATTTACCCAGTAGTCAATCAGAAGCAGGTTGTTTTGTTTCCATGTAGTTGCATGTTTTTTAGTGAGATTGTTAATCCTGAGTTCTAATTGGATTGCCCTGTGGTCTGAGAGACTGTTTGTTATGATTTCCATGGTTTTGCGTTTGTTGAGGAGTGTTTTACTCTCAATTATGATGTCAGTTTTAGAATAAGTATGATGTGGTACTGAGAAGAGTGTATATTCTGTTGATTAGGCGTGGAGAGTTCTGTAGGTGTCTATGAGGTACGCTTTGTCCAGAGCTGAGTTCAAGTCCTGAATATTCTTGTTAACTTTCTGTCTCATTGATCTGTGTAATATTGATGCTGGGGTGTCAAAGTATCCCCCAATTATTGTGTGGGAGTCTAAGTCTCTTTGTAGGCCTCTAAGAACTTACTTTATGAATCTGAGTGCTTCCATATTGCGTGCATATGTATTTAGGATAGTTAGCTTTTCTTGTTTCTTGTTGCATTGATCCCTTTACCATTTGGTAATGCCATTCTTTGTCGTTTTTGGTCTTTGTTGGTTTAAAGTTTTTTATTTTATTTTATTTTATTTTTTTAATCAGGGACTAGGATTGCAACACCTGTTTTTTTTTTTTTTCTTTCCATTTGCTTGGTAAATATTCCTCCATCCCTTTATATTGAGCCTATGTGTGTCTTTGCATGTGAGATGGGTCTCCCAAATACAGCGCACCAATGGGTCTTGACTCTTTATCCAGTTTACCAGTCTGTGTCTTTTAATTGGGGCATTTAGCCTGTTAACTTTTAAGGTTAATATTGTTATGTGTGAATTTGATTCTGTCATTATGATGCCATTAGTTGATGCAGTCTCTTCATAGTGTTGATGGTTTTACAATTTGATAGTTTTTTACAGTGGCTGGTATTGTTTTTTTCTTTCCATATTTAGTGCTTCCTTCAGGAGCTCTTGTAAGGCAGGCCTGGTGGTGACAAAATCTCTCAGCATTTGCTTGTTTGTAAATAATTTTATTTCTCCTTCGCTTATGAAGCTTAGTTTGGTTGGACATGAAATTCTGTGTTGAGAATTATTTTCTTTAAGAATGTTGAATATTGGCCCCCACTCTCTTCTGGCTTGTAGGGTTTCTTCAGAGAGATCCACTGTTAGTCTGATGGGCTTCCCTTTGTGGGTAACCCTGTCTTTCTCTCTGGCTGCCCTTAACATTTTTTCCTTCATTTCAACCTTGATGAATCTGACAATTATGTGTCTTGGGGTTCCTCTTCTCAAGAAGTATCTTTGTGGTGTTTTCTGTATTTCCTGTATTTGAATGTTGACCTGAATGTTTCCCAACCTGCTAGGTTGGGAAAGTTGTCCTGGATCATATCCTGGAGAGTGTTTTTCAACTTGATTCCATTATCCCCATCACTTTCAGGTACACCAATCAAACGTAGGTTTGGTTTTTTCACATAGTTCAATATTTCTTTGAGGCTTTGTTCCTTACTTTTTATTCTTTTTTCTCTAATCTTGTCTTCACACTTTATTTTATTAAGTTAATCTTCAGTCTCTGATATTCTTTCTTCCACTTGATCTATTCAGCTATTAATACTTGTGTATGCTTCACGAAGTTCTCATACTGTGTTTTTCAGCTCCATCAGGTTATGTTCTTCTTTAAACTGGTTATTCTAGTTAGCAATTCCTCTAACTGTTTTGCAAAGTTCTTAGCTTTCTTGCATTGGGTTAGAACATGCTTCTTTAGCTAGGAAGAGTTTGTTATTACCCACCTTCTGAAGTCTATTTCTGTCAATTTGTCAAACTCACTGTCCGTCCAGTTTTGTTCTTTTGGTGGCAAGGAGTTTTGATCCTTTGCAGCATAAGAGGATGTCTGTTTTCTGGAATTTTCAGCCTTTTTGCGCTGGTTTTTCCTCATCTTCATGGATTTGTCTACCTTTCATCTTTCGTGTTGGTGACCTTTGGATGGGGTTTTTGTGTAGATATCCTTTTTGTTAATTTAAAAACAGAAAGGATGCTATTCCTTTCTGTTTGTTAGTTTTCCTTCTAACAGTCAGGCCCCTCTAATGCAGGTCTGCTAGAGTTTGCTAGAGGTCCACTTGAGTCCCTGTGTGCCTGAGTATCACCATCAGAGGCTGCAGAACAGCAAAGATTGCTGCCTTTTCCTTCCTCTGGAACCTTCATCCCAGAAGGGCACCTGCCAGATGCCTGCTGGAGCTCTCCTGTATGCGATGTCTGTCGATCCCTCCTGGGAGGTATTTCCCAGTCATGAGGCATGCAGGTCAGGGACCCACTTGAGGAGGCAGTCTGTCCCTTAGCAGAGGTCAAGCACCGTGCTGGGAGATCTGCTGCTCTCTTCAGAGCCAGTAGGCAGGAACATTTAAGTCTGCTGAAGCTGCACCCACAGCCGCCCCTTACTCCAGGTGTTCTGTCCCAGGAAGATGGGAGCTTTATCTATAATCCTCTGATTGGGGCTGCTGCCTTTCTTTCTGAGATGCCCTGCTCAGAGAGGAGGAAACTAGAGAGGCAGTCTAGCTACAGCAGCTTTGCCAAACTGTGGTGGCCTCTGTCCAGTTCTAACCTCCCAGCAGCTTTGTTTACACTGTGAGGGAAAAACCGCCTACTCAAGCCTTAGTAATGGCAGAAGCCCCTCCCACCACCAAGCTTGAGTGTCCCAAGTCAACTTCAGATTGCTCTGCTGGCAGCGAGAATTTTAAGCCAGTGGATCTTAACTTGCTGGGCTCTATGGGGGTTGGGTCTGCTGAGCTAGACCACTTGGCTCCCTGGCTTCAGCCCCCTTTCCAGGGGTGTAAACAGTTCTGTCTTGCTGGCATTCCAGGTGCCACTGGGGTATGAAGAAAAAACTCCTGCAGCTAACTCAGTGTCTGCCCAAACGGCCACCTAGTTTTGTGCTTGAAACGCAAGGCCCCTGGTGGTGTAGGCACCCAAGGGGATCTCCTGGTCTGTGGGTTTCAAAGACCATGGGAAAAGTACAGTGTCTGGGCTGGAATGCACCATTCTTCGTGGCATGGTCTCTCACAGCTTCCCTTGGCTAGGGGAGGGAATTCCTCGACCCCTTGCGCTTCCCGGGTGAGGTGATGCCCCACCCTTCTTCAGCTCACCCTCTGTCCACTACACCCACTGTATAACCAGTCCCAATGAGATGAGCCAGGTACCTCAGATGGAAGTGCAGAAATCACCTGCCTTCTGAGTTGATCTCACTGGGAACGGCAGAGCAGAGCTGTTCCTATTTCCCATCTTGCCAGCCCCCAGACTAGAATTGAAAATTTTATTACAGGAATTTTAAAATACAGTTGGAAGCTTTAACAGTAGATTAGACCAAGCAGAAAAAAGAATTTCATATCTTCAAGTCAGGTTTCTCAAATTAAACCATTCAGGCAATTAAAAAAAATAATTAACAATAAATGAAAATTTTGAGAAATTTTAAATTATGTAAAGTGACCAAACCTAGACTTCTTGGCATTTCTAAAAGAATTTTTTTTTTTAAATGAGCAACTTTGAAAACATATTTGGGGGAATAATTCAGGAGAATTTATCTTTGCTAGAAAAGTTGACATTCAGATACAATAAATTCAGAAAACACCTGTGAAACATCGTAGAAGATGATGGTCCCCAAGGCATATAGTTATCAGACTATCCAAAGTCAACACTAAAGAAAAAATATTGAAGGCAGCTTGAGAAAAGGGTCAAATCACCTATAAAAGAAATTCCATCAGCCTAACAGCAGGCTTCTCAGCAGAAACTGTATAAAACAGAAGAGATAGGGGGTGCCTATTTTTAGCCTTCATAAAAGAAAAAAATGCCAGCCAATAATTTAATGCCCTGTGAAATGAAGCTTTATAAAGGAATAAGAAATAAAGTATTTCCCAGATAAGCAAACACTAATGGAATAAATCAACACCAGACTGCTCCTGCAAGAAATGCTCAAAGGAATTCTAATGATGGAAATGAAAGAATGATACATGCTACCATTAAAGCACACATGAATACAAAGCTCACAGATTCTATAAAGCAATTACATAATTGAGACTACAAAGAAATTAGCTAAAAACATTATGATAGGAACAATACTTTACACATTAATATTAACTTTGAACATAAATAGCCTAAATACTCCATTTAAAATATCCAAAAAAATTACAAGACTCAATTTTCTGTTTCCATCAAGAAACCGATCTCATGTAAAATGACACCAACAGACTCAAACTAAAAAGTGGAGAAAGATCAGTCATGCAAATGGAAAACACAAAAGAGCATGGATAGCTATTCTTGTAACACATAAAACAGATTTTAAACCAAAAGCTATTTAGAAAGGCAAAAGCTTCACATAAAGAAACAGGATTCAATTCAACAAGAAAATTTAACCATTCTAAATATATATGCACCAACATCAGAGAACCCAGATTTATAAAACAAATACTACTAGAACTAAGAAAAGAGACAGACAGCCACAGACTAATAGTGGATGACTTCAACACACCACTGACTGCACAAGATAGATCATCCAGGTAGAAAAGTAATGAAGAAACACTGGACTTAAACTGGATTTTTGACAAAATGGACCTAATAGACATCAACAGAATACTCCCCCCAAAACCACAGAATATACATTTTTTATCATCTGTGCATGGAACATTCTGTAAAATTGACCACATTCTTGGTCATAGAGCAAACGTTAATAAATTGGAAAAATTGAAATCATATTAAGCATGTTCACTGACAATAGTGGAATAAAATTTGAAATTGATATTAAGAGGAATTCTCAAAATCACATAAATACATGGAAACCAAACAACTTGCTCCCAAATAACTTTCTGGTGAACAACAAAATTAAGGCAGAAATTAAAACATTTTAGAAACAGATGAACATAAAGACACACTATGCCAAACGTCTGGGATAGAGCAAAAGTAGTTTTAAGAGGAAAGATTACCGCACTCAATCCCTACATCAAAAATTTAGAAAGATCTAAAATTAACAACCTAACGTTGCGCCTCAAGGAACTAGAAAATCAGGAACAAACCAAGTCTAAAGCTAGCTGAAGAAGAGAAATAACAAAGATCAGAGGAGAACTAAAAGAAATTGAGACAAAAAACATTACAAAGGATCAATGAAACAAAAGGTGGTTCTCTGAAAGTATAAAAAAGTGACAGACCTCTAGTTGGATTATCCAATTAAAAAGAGATTTAAATAAGCGCAATAAGAAATGACAAAGGTGACATTACAATTCATACCACAAAAATACAAAGGATCCTCAGAGATTATAATGAACATCTCTATGCACACAAACTAGAAAACAGAGAAAATGGATACATTCCTGAGAATACACAACTTCTCCGGATTGAACCAAAAAGAAACTCAAATCCTGAATGGACCAATAATTAGCTATGAAACTGAGTCAATATTTAAAAAAACAAAAAACTACCAATTCCAAACAGCCCCGGATCAGACGGATTCACAGCTGAATCCTACACAACATATAAAGAAGAGTTGGCACCAATCATGCCGAAAGTATAACAAAAAGTTAAGAACAAAGGATTCTTCTCTAACTCAATCTATGAAAACAGTATAATTCTGACTCCAAAATCAGGTAAGGACTCTAAAAAGTAGAAAGCTACAGGCCAATATACTTGATGAACATAGATACAAAAATCTTCAGTGAAATACTAGTAAATCAAATGCAGCAGCATATCAAAAAAAAAAGAGGATAATTCATCACAATTAAGTGACTTTTATCCCTGGAATCCAAATAAATAAATACAATTCACCACATAAACAGAACTAAAAAAAAAAGATCATCTCATTGGATGCAGAAAAAACATTTAATAAAATCCAACATAGCTTCATGATAAAAACCCTCAACAAACTTGGCATTGAAGGAACATACCTCAAAATAATAAAAGCCATGCAGGACACATCCATGGCTAACATCATACTGACTGGGAAAAGACTAAAAGTATTTCTCATAAGAAGTGGAACAAAACAAGGATGTCCACTGTCACCACTCCTACTCAACATAGTACTGGAAGTCACAGCAAGAGAAACCAGGCAAGAGAAAGAAATAAAAGTCATTCAAACTGGAAAAGAGGAAGTCAGATTATCTCTGCCTATAATGGCATGATTCTATATCTAGAAAGCCCAAAGTCTCCTCCAAAGACTCCCTCCCTGATAAATAAATTCAGTAAAGTTTCAGGATACAAAATCAACATACAAAATCAGTAGCCCTTCTATACACCAATAATGTTCAAGCTGAGAACCACATAAAAATCTCAATCCCATTTATAATAATCACACAAAAATAAAATTCCTAGGAATACATTTAACCAAATTGGTGAAATACCTCTACAAGGAGAACTATAAAACATTAATGAAAGAAATAGTAGATGACAGACACACACCTCTGTAAAAACTTTCCATACTCATGGATTGTAAAGATCAATATTGTTAAAATGACCATACCTCCCAGTGCAGTATAGAGATTCAAAGCAATTTTTACTAAACTATTGTGATGATTAATACTGAGTGTCAACTTAATTGGATTGAAGGATGCAAAGTATTGAGACTGGGTGTGTCTGTAAGGGTTTTGCCAAAAGAGATTAACATTTGAATCAGTGGGCTGGGGAAGGCAGATCCACCCTTAATCTGGGTGGGTACCATCTAATCAGCTACCAGCAAATATAAAGCAGGCAGAAAAATCTAAAAGGCTAGACTGGCCTAGCCTCCCAGCCTACATCTTTCTCCTGTGCTGGATGCTTCCTGCCCTTGAACATTGGACTCCAAGTTATTCAGCTTTGGGACTCAGACTGGCTTCCTTGCTCCTCAGCTTGCAGATGGCCTATTGTGGAACCTTGTGATCATGTGAGTTAATAATGTTCAATAAACTACCATATATATATATATATATATATGTATATATATGTATATATACGTATATATGTATACATACGTATATATATGTATATATACGTATATATGTATATATACGTATATATATGTATACATATACATATGCTATTAGTTCTGTTCCTCTAGAGAACCCCAACTAATATAATTGCCAATGTCATTTTTCACAGAATTAGGGAAAATAACTCTAAAATTAATATGCAACCCCCAAAAAAGCTCAAATAGCCAAAGCAACCCAAAACAAAAAGAACAAAGCTGGAGGCATCACTTCACATGACTTTAAATTCTTCAAGGCGATAGCAACCAAAACATTAGAGTACTGGTGCAAAAATAGACACACAGATAAGTGAAAAAGAAAAGAGGACCCAGAAATGAAGGCTCACACATACAACCAACTGATCTTTGACAAGGTTAAAAAAAATAAACAATGGGGAAATGACACCCTATTCAATAAATGATGCTAGAAAAGCTCACCAGCCATGTGCAGGAGACTGAAACTGGACCCTTACTTCTCACGAAAACTAACTCAAGGTGGATAAAGACTTAAATGTAAGACCTGAAACTGTAAAAAATCATAGAAGAAAACCTAGAAAAACCTTATATGGATATTGGCCTAGGCAAAGAATTTATGACTAACACATCAAATGCAATTGTATCCAAAACAAAAATAGACAAATGGTACTTAATTAAACTAAAGAGCTTCTGCACAGCAAAACAAAAATCAATAGATTAAACAGACAAGCTACAGAATACAAAAACAATATTTGCAAACTATGCATCCAGAAAAAGAATAATATTCAAAATCTATAAGGAACTTAAATAAATCAACTTGTAAAAAACAAATAACCACATTAAAAAGTGGGCAAAGAACATGAGAAGACACTTCTCCAAAGAAAACACACCTTCAAAGAAGAAACACATGTGGCCAACAAACGTATGAAAAAAATTTTCACCATCACTAATCATCAAAGAAATGCAAATCAAAATCACAACGAGATACCATCTGACACCAGTTAAATGGCTGTTATTAAGAACGTCACATTTTCTTAATCCAGTCTATCGTTGTTGGACATTTAGGTTGGTTCCAAGTCTTTGCTATTGTGAATAGTGCCGCTATAAACATACATGTGCATGTGTCTTTATAGCAGCATGATTTATAATCCTTTGGGTATATACCCAGTAATGGGATGGCTGGGTCAAATGGTATTTCTAGTTCTAGATCCCTGAGGAATCGCCACACTGACTTCCACAATGATTGAACTAGTTTACAGTCCCACCAACAGTGTAAAAGTGTTCCTATTTCTCCACATCCTCTCCAGCACCTGTTGTTTCCTGACTTTTTAATGATTGCCATTCTAACTGGTGTGAGATGGTATCTCATTGTGGTTTTGATTTGCATTTCTCTGATGGCCAGTGATGAGGAGCATTTTTTCATGTGTTTTTTGGCTGCATAAATGTCTTCTTTTGAGAAGTTTCTGTTCATATCCTTCGCCCACTTTTTGATGGGGTTGTGTGTTTTTTTCTTGTGCACATGTACCCTAAAACTTAAAGTATAATAATAATAATAATAACAATAAAGAACGTCAAAAAACAGCATGTTGGGGAGGTTGTGGGAAATGGGTATGCTTATACCCTGTTGGTGGGAATGTAAATTAGTACAACCCCTACAGAGAATAGTATGGAGATTTCTGAAAGAACTAAAAGTGGAACTACCATTTGACCCAGAAATCCCACTACTGTGTATCTACCCGAAGAAAAATAAATCTTTCTACCAAAAGACAGTAGCACTCATATGTTTACCACAGCACTATTCACAATAGTGATTGAATCAACAAAGGTGTACAATCAACTTAAATTTCCATCAATGGTAGATTGGATAAAAATAATATCGTATAAGTGCATCACAAAATACTACATATTTACAAAAAATAATGAAATTATGCTTTTTTCAGCAACATGGATGCAGCTCTAGGCTATTATTCTAAGTGAAGTAATGCAAAAACAAAAAAATATGGCATGTTTGCATTTATAAGTGGGAGATAAACAATGGGTACCCATGGACCTAAAAATGGAAACAATAGATACTAGGGACTAAAAGACAGGAGAAGCAGGGAGGATGGCAGTGTTTGAAAAACTACCTATTGGGTACTATGCTTACTATTTGCGTAATGTGCTCACTAGAAACCCAAACCCCGTCAGTATACAACATATGCATGTATCAAACCTGTGCATGTACCCTGCAGACCTATAATTCAACAAAAAAACCTCTTAAGAAGATAGTAGTAGTTTGATATTTCTTTCAAAGTGCTAGATATAGCTCAGTATACATATCTCACAACAAAACCGACATCATTTTTATTAGAAAGCTCTAGCTATGAGTAAAGCAACAATGCATTTTATCACCACCCATATGCTTTTCTGAATTTCCTGGATAACATCATTAGATAACTACAAGAAATAAGGAATAAATACTTAGAAAAACATGAATGATATTTTTAGATTATATGACTGCATTCTTGAAAGCAATCTTTGCACAGCAATTAACATCAATAGTGTAATTCAGTATGATAGCTGGGTACAAAATTCATATACAAAGTGCAATAGATTTTCAATATATAGAAAGTAATTAATTGGAAATTATAAGGAAAGAAAATATATCCTTTACATCAGCAACAGGTATGAAACACTGAGATATTTGACGAGTTTGGTGCATGGCATTTAAAACTCTCTTGAAATAATTAAGAGCTAAATTAATACACAACTATTCTTTGTTTTGGGTCTTAAATAATCCAGAGAAGATATCCCTGTTCCTTATATTTATATCAAAATTAAATATTATTCAAATAAAAATGATAATATATTAACTATCCTGACAAATTTACATTGAAATGTATCTATAAATTACCCAGATGGCCACTAATAAAAAATAATAATTAGTCATATTGGCCCTTCTTCCAGATTTTAAAATAAGATATGGCAATTAAGAATTTGATAGTCTTCCTTGTGTCTGGGTGCGGTGGCTCACGCCTGCAATCCTAGCACTTTGGGAGGCTGAGGTGGGCGGATTGCTTATGTCTGGGCTACATTGTGAAACTCCATCTTTACAAAAAATACAAAAATTAGCTTGGTGTGGTGGTGTGCACCTGTAGTCCCAACTACTCGGGAGGCTGAGGTGGGAGAATCACTTGAGCCCTGGAAGCGTGGGTGGCTGTGAGCTGAGATTATGCCTCTGCACTCCAGCCTGGGTGACAGAGTGAGACCCCATCTCCGAAAAAAAAATAATAATTTGATACTCTTTTTGAATAGATCAACAAAGATAAGAACACAGGCATTTTAGAAATACTCTCAAATATATATTGGGTTTTAATATAAATGAGATACAATTGAGTAAACTTTTAATATGATTTGTAGGATTTTAGTTATTCTTAGGAAGACCAAGACTTCCAAAATTATAAAAATAATTTGCCCATGTTTATATCTTTGCCCAATCTGCAATTTATTTCATTAACACAAGTGCTATGTGGACTTGAAAAAATACAGCTGTTGAAATAGTACCAAAGAGGTACTATATTTTATCTATCAAAGCAGTAATGAGTTAAATTTTGATAAAGTTCACTGTTGAATAGGTTGAAAAACTCATACTTTGATATTTGTAGTGGAAAAGTAAGTTACTTATTTGAGGGGAAGGAGGATCTGACTATATCTATTAGAATTTAAAACACATTTTTTGTTCTACATCTTGGAATTTATTTATGGATGTACTCATATACTGGTCCAGAGACCATTATACTATTTATTGTAGTATGTGTGTGTACACGTGTGTATTTATATATAGCTGTGTAACTACCTACTTTCTCCCTCTCTCTCAACCTATTATCTGTGTGCATAGATTTGTACCTCTGTAAACCAATTCTTGAAGGATACAGACATGCAAAATTTTTAATAGTATCTTTGTAGATTGGAATGATAGTAGTGAGGGGATATAAGATTTTTCATTCTATACATTCCTGTGCTTTTGCATTTTTACTTGAGAATGTGCTTTTAATAATAAAAACTTTAGTTAAAAATAAACAGCTTATGTAGGTACCAATATCACATGGAATTAAAAAGTGTTGATCAACTTGTTTAATTCATAATTTGTTTTACAATAATGCACATAGAAACATAACAAGCAGAATTATATAAAATTTGTGTAAAAACCAATTGCACTAGGAATATAACAGATTTCATTATCTACTATTATGTAAGTGTATCACAAATTATCTGCATATTCTAAAAATTTCCAGAGACTGTCCCTCATACAAAATAAATCTTATTCGGGAAAGTTCTTTAATTTTAGGTAACTAGAAATTAAATACATATTCCATGCCCCAATGCCTCAGACTTTGAATTTTCAAGATAAGAAGATGATGTACAAGGAAACATTAAATTTATGTGTATATATACATATTATTGCAAATATACATATATGTGTGTATATATATATCATATATATTTATAAATATATGTACACACACGTCTGTACACAACATAATTTATTTAGACATTTTTTCTGTCAAAAGCCTAGAAATACATCTGGCTTTGTTTTGGAAACTATAAATCATTTAGTCAGTATGATTTTAACTATTACAAAAGTTTATATAGCATTGGACTAAAAACATGTTATTGAAATAGCACACACAAGGTCACATTATTTGATATATAAATTGGCTCTTTCTTTAGGAAGATGAATACAGCTCATAGGTGTTCATTTGTTTACCAAACTTCTACGATTTGGAAAATCCTATTCAATACTTCTACAGAGAGCTGTTTGGAAATGTTGCATGCTTCAGTAATTTACAGTTTTTGAATTAAAGCCTAGTATATAATGTGCAAATTTGATTATATAAATCTGATCTTTTGTTGGCTTAACGGTTTTGGAAGATTTTTGTCAGTATCAAGAAATACCTCAGAAATAGGCAAGTACTTTTTAGGGAACAATCATTTCCATTCACATAAATTCTATGAATAAAAATATTTACTTACTGAATTTTCATACCTGGAAGGACTGCAAATCTCTTAATGCTTTTCAAGTTATTCCAATACACATTGGTTAGCATGCGACAGAAAAGCTATAGACAGAACACAGCTGTTATGAATATATATTGTGTCAGAATAGCATACTAATCACTAGCTCTAAAGAAATATACACTTTTAATATTTTCCTATATCTGTAACTACAACTTGGAAAATGAGTAGTTAAATTCAGAGTGTGTCCTTATGGTACCTGTGTGCATATTTTACAGCCAAATTTTGAAAAGAGGAAATTTTTTTCATATAGATGCTCCATAAAAAATGCCAATAAATAAATAAAAGGTCATTTGGAATCCACTAAAATATCAATGCACATTTAAGAAAGTGGTAGTGGTACTGGCATAAGGAAGAGAAAAATAAAATGAAAGCCATTGGAAGTAATTTGTAAGACACATAGGTATCATAAACCTGATTTTTTTAATATCAGTGTATTTTTAATATCAAAGCTCAATCTTTAGAAAGACTCATAAATAACACCCTTTTAATTATAGCCAACTTGATCACACACAAAATTCCTTTTACAAATTCATCCTTCACAATCTTATATGACCTGCATGAACCTTTGATGACAAGCTTAGACTTTCTCTTTTCTCCTATATTTTCTCCTTCCTAAATAACCGGTCCTTTTACCTTAGGACAAAAATTTACCGCATTTTTTATAGAAAATCTTTCTTACCAAAAATACACTTCTGTACCTGTAACTTTCTTCACATCTCTCTCCTACTTAATGGTTCCTTTTTTTTTTTTTGACTTTATTTCCATTTATTTTAAATTTTATTATTATTATACTTTAAGTTTTAGGGTACATGTGCACAATGTGCAGGTTTGTTACATATGTATACATGTGCCATGTTGGTGTGCTGCACCCATTAACTCGTCATTTAGCGTTAGGTATATCTCCTAATGCTATCCCTCCCCCCTCCCCCCACCCCACAACAGTCCCCGGAGTGTGATGTTCCCCTTCCTGTGTCCATGTGTTCTCGTTGTTCAATTCCCACCTATGAGTGAGAACACGCGGTGTTTGTAAACCTGATTTTTATAAGCTCAAAATGTCAGAAATATACCTGTCAGAATGAGTCCCCATTACATGAATAGTTTGTTTACCTTATCCTCTGAAGTCAGAATCAACAATCAGACTGGTTGAGAAAGCAAACGAATCTTTATGATGGGTAGACCGTTGCACAAATTTGCAAGTGACATAACCAACAAATAGATAAAAGAAACACATTTTTATATAAAAGGAACACATGCACAAACCATTAATGTGTGTATATGCATTACAAAATGAGAATCAACAACTTTAGAAAAATTAACAACTTGGTGCAATTATGAAATTATTCAATTGGATACTGCGGTAGAAGATAGTCATGGGGTAGGAGGACAGGGTCAATATTAACTTGATTGTTTGTATGTATTTTTAAAGTAGTGCCAGAAAAAATTCAAGAAAAGAGAAGTTATATGACGAAGTAAAATGCTTTAGAAACGATGGGAAAACATTGGAGTTACTGGAAAAATATTGTGTTTACAGAAAATGTAAACAACTGTAAATACCTTAAGGTAATTATGCCTAGATTTTGTTAGACAAAGATTTTATATATTTTGAGAAACAAGAAAATAATATTTCAAATGAGTCACACAGTGAATATATTTTAAGGCACCTATGAACCTATATATTTCAAAATGCAAGAATATTGCAAATTCATGTAATGAAAAGTTAAGCAGATTAGGGTTTTGAGATAAAATGAGGGAGGCCCAAATAAATTTGAAATTCAAATTCACAATAAGTAAGCTTCTAAATAATATTTAAGTAATTTTTTCCACTAAAATTATTTATTGCTTATATAAAGTTCAAATTTGGCTGAGTATCCTGTACTTTTGTGTGCTAAGCCGGGCAAACTTGCAGCTGCAAGGAATCAGAAATCTCTTCATTTTCTTTCAACTGCACTGATAATTTTTTTGTTATGTATATCCTACTATTTGCATCTTAATATTTACTTCTTAATATCAATTGTTGTATGTTTAAGTTCTAGAGCTTCTATTTGATTTTTTGCTATAGATTTCATATTTCTATTGAAATTATCTATCTTTTAATCCATTTTCTTGAAAATATTAAGTGTAGCTCTTTTAATGCCTGGCTCAGATGACCTTGATAACTTTGATATTCTGTGATACCTTTGTATATTATGTCTTTTTTTTTCTCTATTGGTTTTCAACCATGTGGCCTGTATTAGTTCATTCTCACACTCTTATAAAGATACTACTGGAGACTGGGTAATTTATACAGAAAAGAAGTTTAATTGACTTATAGCTCCACATGTCTGCGGAGGCCTAGGAAACTTACAATCATGGTGGAAGGTGAAGGGAATGCAAACTTGGACCTTTTCACATGGCGGCAGGAGAGTGCCAGCAAGAGCAGGGAAAATTGCCTTATAAAACCATCAGATTTTGTGAGAACTCACTCAATATTAGGAGAACAACATGGGGGAAAAATGCCCCCTTAATCCAATCACTTCCCTCCAGGTATCCCTGAACACCTGGGGATTACAATTTAAGATGAGATTTGGGTGGGGACACAAAGCCTATCATATTTCCTGGCAATGGTTTTTTGGTGCTGGATATGCTGTATCAAAAACTATAAAAGCTTTAGATGATGTCATTTTTCTCCACGAAGATTTATATTTTTTTCCTCACTGGCAAGTAGTGTAGGAATGAATAATTTTGATGCATAAAATATTGGTCTATATATGGTTTGACTTTATACATAGGATAAGGCCCTTCCTGGACCTCAAATGAAGAAAAAAAAAAAAAGCCCTGAATCTAGATTCTCTTTTCCCCAGAATAACATATTTATTGAATTCTTTTCTATACATTCTGGCTCTGTAAAGCTATTATAGCATCTCCTTTACTTATCTGCCTCTAACCCACGTCATGGGTACAATACCAACTCAAGAGAGAATTTCTTGCACAAAATCAAGGTCAGTTCTCTGAAACTTCCTTTTCTCTGAGACTTTGGCCCTGTGTCTCCAGACTACTTTGTAGCAGGAAATTTCAATTTTGTTGCTCCAGTCCAGGGAGGCTGCTGTAACATACAGGTTGCTGCATTCTGTTTAGCATTTATACATTGAATGGAGAATTGACAAATGTACCAAGAGTAAAAATGACAATGCAGATCTTGCCTCAATGTGTTAGCTTCTCATCTTGTGCTTGGCTAGGTTATTCTCTGATACCTTCAGTCAACTTTTTAAAATGTATCAATTTTTGAGAAGGGTGTCAAGATCATTCAATTTGGAAATAGTCTTCAACAAATGGTTTGAGATAACAAAAGAGCCACATGCAAAAGAGTGAAGTTGGAGTCTTACATCACAACATATCAAAAATTGACTTTAAATGGATCGAGTATGTAAGTATAAGTGCTAAATCTATAAAACTCACAGAAGAAAACAAGAGTAAAATTTTTGAACTTGAATTTTGCAATGAATTCTTAGATACAACACCAGAAGCATAAATAACACAAGAAAAAAATGAATAAGACTTTATCAAAATGAAAAACTTTTGTAATTCAAGTGACACTATCAAGAATGTGAAAACAGTACCCAAAGTATGGGATAAAATATTTGCAAATCATATTTTTTTAATGAACTTATAACTAAAATATATAAAGAATACTCACAATTTAACAATAAAAAATATGACCCAACTAAAAGATGGGCAACAGAGTTGAATAGAGATTTCTCCAAAAAGATATACAAATGGCCAATAAACAAGTGAAAAAATTGTTCAAAATCATTACTAATCATGGTATTGTGAGTCAAAACCGTCATGATAAACCATCTCACGTGCACTAGGATGGCTTTAATCAAAAAGTCAGGTAACAACAAATGTTGAAGAGGTGGAGAAATTTGAACATTCATACATTTCTGGTGAGAATGAAAAACAGCTCAGGCCTTTTGTAAAATAGGATGACAGTTTCACAAATAAGTAAATAGAGTAATACCATACTATCCAGCAATTATTTCACTCCTAGGTGTCTACCCAATAGAAATAAAAACATACATAAAGATACAAACTTATACATAAATGTTCATAGCAGCATTATTCATATTAGACAAAAAATAAAAATTCAAGTGTTCTTTGATGAATTGATAAACCAAATGTATATATATCACTCAAACATAAAAAGGAATGATATACTTAATGGAACATGATATAACAAGGATTAATCTTAAAAATATTATGTAAAGTGAAAGAAGTCAGTCACAAGTTCATATATTATATGATTAATTTATATTAAATGGCAAGAATAGACAATTCAATAGATAAAGTAAATTAGTGGTTTCCTAGGGTTGGGATATGGGTGAATAGAAATAATAGGTAACATGTACAGAGCTGTTATTTCTTTGGGGTAATAAAAATATTCTAAAATTGACTATAGTAAAGGTTTTACACATCTGTAAATTACTAAAAAATCATTGATTTATACTCTTTAAATGAGTGACTCTTTTGGTATATGAATTATATTCCAATATAATTCTTCTTAAAAGTGTATCCAACTTTCATATTTGTTCTCGGCAGAAAGGGTTATGCTGATGCTAGCTACACTCTCATAGTCCAAAACAGAAATCTGACTTTATTGTGTTTGAAAGGAGACAATAATAAAGACCATAAAGTGACAGAATTCTTCCAGATGAGAACGTTAAGGAATTAGACATTTGAGAAGCCACTTTCTGTAAAAATGAGCTGTTTCCTTAACTATTTTCTGAATTTTTTATCATAGATATGAAGATACTAAGTTGAAAGACTGTTTTTAAATATAACAAACTATTTAGTAACAGTAACATTAGCCATAGCTGAACACAGTGGTTCTGATCACAGATTCAGATCAGCTAAAGGGATTATAATCTGTGGAACAGAGTATTGAAAGGGAGGATGCTACCCAGCAGTGACCCAGAAGTCTGTATTCTGTATAAGTCCTTGGCCAAGAACTAGACTTTTCATGCTCTGGGTGAGATGATATGAGGCTTATGTCAGAATAACTTCTATATCATAAGAAGGGAAGAGAGATAACAAAGGTCAAACAGTCTTCAGGAATGTTGAAAAGCCAGACCTTGTAGAGTTTAAGGACCATCTTATATTCTGATTAACTCCCAAGCATGTGACCCCAGAAATGCCACAATTGACGAGTTAGAAAAACGCCCTAGGTTAAGAGTTAACCTCGATTTACACTAACAAAGCCTGAAACCCAACACTGATAAAATATTCAGAAGAAATAAGGTTTGAAGACTGAATCCCTCTGATTAGAGGGGCCAAGGAAACACTGTGGACTTAAAACATATCTGCAAAATAGCCTGAGAAGTGTGAGGAGAACATCAATGCAGAAAAATAGCCTGGTGTGTGGAATCAGAGCTTGAACACACTGATTAGTGCATCTATACAAAGGAGGTGGCATTGGTGGTGGTAGGAGACAGGATTTATATGGACAAAATAACAAAATAATTGAAAAAATATTGAAGATTTATATTATATTATATTATATTATATTATATCTTATTATTATTATTATATATGATGCCAATAGTGAAAGAGGGTCTTGCAGGAGACTGAAACCCAAAGACAGGACAAACTTTACATTAAAATTTTTTTTTCTCTCTTCCTGCTATTTGCACCAGTACTTGGGCTAAGACACAAAAAGTATGCAGCAGAGCAGAGTAAATATGGCCCTGGATATATATGGCCAGAGGATTAAAATGGGGAATCCCAAGAAACTGGAAAGTATTGGGGGTGTTTTGGAGGGGGAGGTGGTCAAGCAAGTGAACCCAAAAAGTTGTTTATGAAGTTCTAAATTTACCTCAAAGCTGTACATCCACAGATTTTATTCTAAACACAAAGATAGACAACTTCCAAGATCTAAGTGAATGATACACATGTGGAAGAGATCCAAATAATACTGAACTTTTTTCTGTGCAGAAGCTTTTTAGTTTCATCCAATCCATTTGTCTATTTTTGCTTTCATTGAAAAAAGAGATTGTGGAATGATGGTTTCCAGGGGCTTGGAGGAGGTGGAAACAGAGATGTATTTTTCAAAGTTTACAAAATTTCAGTTATTCAATATGAATAGATGCTAGAGAGCTACTGTACAGCATAGTGCCTATAATTAGCAATACTGAATTATATACTTAAAAATTTACTAAGATGGTGAGTCTAATTGTATGTCTCTTCACCACAAAAAAGAAAGGAAAAAGGCAAGAAAAAACTTTTGTAGGTGATATATATGTTTATGGCATTAATTTTGGTGATAGTTTTATGGGTGTATATTTATCTCCAGACTCACTAAATTGTATACGCTAAATATGTACAGCTTTTTGTGTTAATTATACCTCTATAAACTATTTTAAAACAAAAACAAATACCACTGTACTGGCATTAAAACCACAACCCACAAATGACTTCAGAACTTGTGTCCTGAACACAACAGGTTAGATTGCTTGCTATAACAAAAGTAACCACTGGATAAGTCTTCTCCACTAGCTAAAGAAGACTTCATATTCTAATAACATCCAGAACACAATTCAAACTCACTTGGCACAATATGCAGACAACTAAAACTGGACCCCTTTCTTACACCTTAAACAAAAATTAACTCAAGATGGATTAAAGACTTAAATGTAAAACCCAAAACCATAAAATCCCCAAAAGAAAACTTCGGCAATACCATTCAGGACATGGGCATGGGCAAAGACTTCATGATGAAAACACCAAAAGCAATTGCAACAAAAGCCAAAATTAACAAATAGAATTTAATTAAACTAAAGAGCTTCTGCACAGCAAAAGAAACTAGCATCAGAGTGAACAGACAACCTACAAAATGGGAGAAAATTTTCGCAATCTACCCATCTGAACAAGGTCTAGTATGCAGAATCTACAAGGAACTTAAACAAATTTACAAGAAAGTAGCAAACCCATCAAAAAGTGGACAAAGGATATGAAAAGACACTTCTCAAAAGAAGACATTTATGTGGCCAACAAACATATGAAAAAAAGCTCATCATCACTGATCATTAGAGAAATGCAAATCAAAACCACAATGAGATACCATCTCATGCCAGTCAGAATGGTGATTATTAAAAAGTCAAGAAGCAATAGATGCTAGTGAGGCTGTGGAGAAACAGGAATGCTTTTACACTGTTGGTGGGAATCTAAATTAGTTCAACCATTGTGGAAGACAGTATGGCAATTCCTCAAGGGTCTAGAACCAGAAACACCATTTGACCCAGCAATCCCATTACTAAGTATATACCCAAAGGAATATAAATTATTCTGCTATAAAGAAACATGCACATGTATGTTTATTGCAGCACTATTTACAATAGCAAAGACATGAAACCAACCCAAATGCCCATCAATGATATACTGGATGAGGAAAATGTGGCACATATACACCATGGAATACTACAAAACCGTTAAAAGAATGAGATCATGTCCTTTACAGGGACATGGATGAAGCTGGAAGCCGTCATCTTCAGCAAACAAACACAGGAACAGAAAACCAAACACCGCATGTTCTCACTCTTAAGTGGGAGTTGAACCATGAGAACACATGGACACAGGGAGGGAAACAACAAACACTGGGGTCTGTTGGGGGGTGAGGGTCAAGGGAAGGGAAAGCATTAAGACAAATATCTAATGTATGCGGGGCTTAAAACCTAGATGACAGGTTGATGGGTGCAGCAAACCACCAGGGCACATGTATACCTGTGTAACAAACCTGCACATTCTGCACATGTATCCTGGAATTGAAAGTAAAATTTAAAAAATTACTTGATACAAAACTAGGGAAATCACAAATTCAAATGGGAAAAGACACTCAATAAATGGTAAAGCTAAGATGACAAAGATGTTGGAATTAGCAGAAAAATATTTTAAGCAACTATTTAATAATGCACTAACAGAAATTAAAATATTATTTAAATAGAAAAATACTGTTAAAAATCTCAGCAAAATATAAAAGATATAAAAAATGTGAATTACAGACTTAAAGATAGAATAATCAAAATAAAAACTCATTAGATAGGCTACATAGTAGAAAAAGATGACAGAAAAATCAGTAAACTTAAAGAAAGATTAATACAAATTATCCCATGTGAGCAAAAAGAAAAGGCTGATACAAAATAAGCAGAGCCCCAACACCAAGTGGCGTAATATTAAAAGGTCTAACATTTATGTAATTCAAGTTGCCAAAAAAGAGAAAGAATACAGTACATCAAAAATATTTAATTCAAATATATAAATATATAGATTTCAGAAGCTTAGTGAACAACAACAATGTATATTAACCAATTTGTTGGGTTATAAAACATACTTTAACAAATTTATGAGTTAAAAATTATACAAAGTCTGCTATATATCCATAATGGAATTAGACTAGAAATCAGAAAAGGAATGATAATACGAAAACCTCCAAACATTGCAAAATTAGTACAAATATAAATAATCTATATGTCAGAGAAGTCTCAGAAAAATTAAAGTTTATACTTTAGCTCAATGAAAATGGAAACTCAACATGTCAAATTTGAATAACATCGCTAAAACAATGCATAGTGAAAATTTATGGCAAAACAGTTAGAGAAGAGTAAAAGACTGTAATCAGAAATCTAAGCTGTCACTTCCAGAAACTAGAAAAAGAAAAATAAACACAATCCAAAAGAATGAAGGAATTCACAAATTTGAGATCAGAAAGCAACATATTTGAAAACAAATAATGCAGAAAAGCAATATAATCAGGCATGTTTCTGTTAAAGATTCATAAATTGGCTAACCAATTTTTATTTTATTTTATTAATGAGACTAAAATAAAAGAGTACATGGATTAAAAATATATTGAATGAAATGATGAATACCATTACAGATTATGCAAACATTAAAAGGATAATAAAGAAATACTGTAGGCTGGGCACGGTGGCTCACGCCTGTAATCCCAGCAATTTGGGAGGCCAAGGAGGGTGGATCACGAGGTCAGGAGTTCAAGACCAGCCTGGCCAAGATGGTGAAATCCCATCTCTACTAAAAATACAAAAATTAGCTGGGCATGGTAGTGGGTGCCTGTAATCCCAGCTACTCAGGCGGCTGAGGCAGAGAATTGCTTGAACCCGGGAGGTGGAAGCTGCAGTGAGCTGAGATTGCACCACTGTACTCCAGCCTGGGTGACAGAGCGAGACTCCATCTCAAAAAAAAAAAAAAAAAAGAAATGCTGCAGACAACTCTAACCACATATATTTGGCAAACTAAATAAAACAGGCCAATTCCTTGAAAAACACATAATACCAAAACTCAACCAAAATAAAATGCATAATCTGAGTAGTCATAAACATCAAAAAAATTAAACTTGTAGTTAAAAATTTACAGAAATAAAATCTCCAAGCCCAGATAGCAATCATGTGAACATATCAATAGATCAATAACATTTTTGACAAAACTGAACATTTACTAATTGTGAAGGTTAATATTAAGGGTCAACTTGATTGCATTGAGGGATACAAAGTATTTATTTTGGGTGTGTCTGTGTGGATGTTGCCAAAAGAAATTAACATTTGAGTCAGTGGGCTGGGGAAGGCAGATCCACCCTTAATCTGGTGGACATAATCTAAATAGCTGCCAGGAAATATGAAGCAGGCAGAAAAACATGAAAAGGAGACGACAGGCCTAGTCTCCCAGCCTACATCTTTCTACTGTGCTGGATGCTTCCTGCCCTCCAACAACAGGCTCCAAGTTCTTCAGTTTTGGGGCTTGGACTGGCTCTCCTTGCTCCTCAGTTTGCAGACAGCCTATTGTGAAATCTTGTGAGTGTGTAAGTTGGACTCAACTTCTAATAGTGTGAAGAACACTCATAGTCCTTGGCATGAACTGTTCAGAGAGTTATGCAAAATAAATGAGTTTGACACTCCTGATTCACTGCTCGTGAGAGGCAAGGAGTTCAGTGGCTCTCTATATAATACCTTTGACCAGATGTGGAGAACCAAGGAATGTAGTGAAACTGGTTGATTGCTCCTAAGTTCAGTAGACCAAGTAATGAAAGAAAATGATGAACTCAGGGATTCTGTCTCCCAGCTTCAGAAGCAAATACTGAGACTCAAATCTGCTAAGATTTCCCTGAGTGAGAATTTTATCTCCTGTAGAGAAAGAACTGAGATTGTGGAAATACAGACACAAGCTCTTATCATGCAAGTGGCTGACCTGCAACAAAAGGTGTGTGCACAGCCTTGCCAGGTGCCTACCATTAAAGTGAGGGCATTGATTGGAAAAGAGTGGGACCCTGCATCTTGGAATGGGGATGTGTGGGAAGACCCTGATGAAGGAGGACAATGAGTTTGTAAATTCTGATGAACCTTTTTTGCTAGAAGGAACAGCTACCCCATCCCCGGTATTAGCAACACTCCACCACTCCCTGCCCCACCCATATTGCCATCAGCCTTCCCACCTTTGTCTGAGGAGATAAACCCTGCATTGCCTGAGGCAGTTGTCAGGAATGATAATGTTGATTCTCCACAGAAGCCAATCCCAACACCTCTGTTTACCTCTAGATGTATACACTAAAGTCCCTGCAAGCCCTTAGAGGTGAGGTTGAGAGTGTGACCCATGAGGAGGTGCACACACTAAAAAAAAACTGTTTTGAGTTCTCTAATTTATATGAACAGCCAATCTGGAGAACAGGTATGGGAATGGATATTAAGGGTATGGGATAATGGTGGAAGGAACATAGTTGGATCAGGCTGAATTTATTGATTTGGGTCCATTAAGTTGAAACTGCATTTAATGTTGCAGCTCAGGGAGTTTAAAAAGGTTCTAAAAGTTTATTTGCTTGGTTAGCTGAAATATGGATTAAAAGATGGCCCACTGTGAGTGAGCTGGAAATGCCTGATCTCTCTTGGGTTAATGTAGAGGAAGGGATCCAAAGGCTTACAGAGATTGGGATGGTGGAGTGGATTAGTCACTTTAGACCTACTCATTCCTGCTGTCAGGGGGGAGGAGGGTTCCAGAAAATATACCCTTGACCAATGCCTTGTGAAATAGATTTGTAAGGGCAGCACCTGCATCTTTGAAGAGCCCTGTAATTGCTTTTCTCTGTATGTCAGATCTAACAGTGGGAACTGCAGTCACTCAACTACAAAATTTAAATACAATGGGAATAATTGGATCCTGAGGTGGCAGGGGCCAAGTGGCAGCACTCAACTGTCAAAGTCAAGGTGGGCGTAGCTACCACAATGGACAGCAGAGGCAAAGCCACAATCAGAATTGTCTGACTCGTGTAGAGCTCTGGCATTGGCTAATTAATCATGGTGTTCCTAGAAGTGAAATTAATAGGAAGCCTACTGCATTTCTACTTAAATTATACAAACAGAAAACTTCTAGATTGAATGGACAAAAGACTAATTTGAGTTATACAAACAGAGAATCATAGCCCCTCAATCAATTTCCAGACTTGAACCAGTTTACAGACCCAGGACCTCTTGAATGAAGGGGAGGCCAGGTCCCCTTGAGGAAGGACCCCACTATATTACTGACAATGTATGCAGTGAGTCTTTCTCCCATTCTTCCCCAATGAGACCTCTGGCCTTTTACCAGGGTAACTGTGCATTGAGGAAAGGGAAATGATCAGACATTTTGGAGACTACCATACACTGGCTTTGAGCTGATATTGATTCCAGGGGATCCAAAATGTCATTTTGGTTCTCCAGTTAAAGTAGGGGCTTATGGAGGTCAGATAATTAATGGAGTTTTAGCTCAGGTCTGACTTACAGTGGGTCCAGTGAGTTCCCAGTCTCATCCTGTGGTCATTTCCCCAGTGCCAGAATGCACAATTGGCATAGAGACGTACTTAGCAGCTGGCAGGACCCCCACGTTGGCTCCCTGACTGGTAGGGTGAGGGCTACTATGGTGGGAAAGGACAAATGGAAGCCATTACAGCTGCCCCTACTTATAAATATAGTAATTCAAAAACAATATCACATCCATGGAGTGATTGCAGAGATCAGTGTCACCATCAAGGACATGAAGGATGCAGGGGTGGTAATTTCCACCACATCCCTGTTCAACACTCTCATTTGGCCTGTGCAGAAGACAGATGGATCTTAGAGAATGACAGTGGATTATCATAAGCTTAACCAAGTGGTTATGCCATTTGCAGGTGCTGTACCAGATGTGGTTTCATTGCTTGAGCAAATTAACACATCTCCTGCTACCTGGTATGCAGCCATTGACTTGGGAAATGCCTTTTTCTCGATTCCTGTCCATAATACCCACCAGAAGCAATTTGCCTTCAGCTGGCAAGGCCAGCAATATATCTTTACTATCCTACTTCAGGTGTATATCAACTCTCCAGCTTTGTGTCATAATCTTATTGGGAGAGATTTTGATTGCTTTTTGCTTCTGCAAGCTATCACACTGGTACATTACATTGATGACATTATGCTGAATGGATCCAACACACTGGACTCATGGGTGAGAAATTTGCATGCCAGAGGATGGAAAATAAATCCAACAAAAATTCAGGGAGCTTCTACCTCAGTAAAATTTCTAGGGATCCAGTGGTGTGGGACCTATTGAGATATTCCTTCTAAGGTAAAGGACAAGTTGCTGCATTTGGCCCCTCCTACATCCAAGAAAGAGGCACAATGCCTAGTGGGCCTATTTAGACTTTGGAGGCAACACATTCCTCATTTGGGTGTGTTACTATGGCCCATTTATCAAGTGACCTGAAAGGCTGCCAGTTTTGAGTGGGGTCCAAGAAGAGGAGAAGGCTCTGCAACAGGACCAGGTTGTGCAAGTTGCTCTGCCACTTAGGCCATATGACCCAGCAGATCCAATGGTGCTTGAGGTGTTAATGGCAGATAGGGATGCTGTTTGGATCCTTTGGCAGGCACCCATAGGTGAATCACAGCAGAGGCCTCTAGGATTTTGGAGTAAGGCCCTGCCATCTTCTGCAGATAACTACTCTCCTTTTGAGAGACTGCTCTTGGCCTGTTACTGTGCTTTCGTGGAAACTGAACGTTTGACTATGGGTCATCAAGTCATCGTGCGACGCGAACTGCCTATCATGAACTGTATGCTTTCTGACTCATCAGGCCACAAAGTGGGTCACGCACAGCAGCATCATGAAATTGAAGTGGTATATACGTGATTGGGCTCGAGCAGGTCTTGAAGGTACAAGTAAGTTACATGAGTAAGTGGCCCAAATACCCATGGTCTCCACTCCTGACATCCTGCCTTCTCTACCCCAGCCTGAACCAATGATCTCATGGGGAGTTCCCTATGATCAGTTGACAGAGGAAGAGAAGACTAGGGCCTGGTTCACAGATGGTTCGGCATGATATGCAGGCACCACCTGAAAGTGGACAGCTACAGCACTACAACCCCTTTCTAGGACATCCCTGAAGGACAGTGGTGAAGGGAAATCTTCCCAGTGGGCAGAACTTTGAGCAGTGTGCCTGGTTGTGCACTTTGCATGGAAGGAGAAAAGGCCAGATGTGCGATTATATACTGATTCATGGGCTGTAGCCAGTGGTTTGGCTGGATGGTCAGGGACTTGAAAGAAGCACGATTGGAAAATTGGTGACAAAGAAATGTGGGGAAGAAGTATGTAGATGGACATCTCTGAGTGGTCAAAAACTGTGAAGATATTTGTATACCATGTGAGTGCTCACCAATGGGTGACTTCAGCAGATGAGGAGTTTAATAATCAAGTGGATAAGATGACCCGTTCTGAGGATACCACTCAGCCTCTTTCCTCAGCCACCCCTGTCATCACCCAATGGGCCCACGAACAAAGTGGCCATGGTGGCAGGGATGGAGGTTACACATGGGCTCAGCAACATGGACTTCCACTCACCAAGGCTGACCTGACTATGGCCACTGTTGAGTGCCCAATTTGCCAGCAGCAGAGACCAACACTGAGCCCTCAATATGGCACCATTCCTTGGGGTGATCAGCCATCCACCTGGTGGCAGGTTAGTTATATTGGACCTTTTCCATCATGGAAAGGGCAGAGGTTTGTCCTGACTGGAATAGGCACTTATTCCGGATATGGGTCTGCCTATCCTGCACGCAATGCTTCTGCCAAGACTACCACCTGTGGACTCAAGGAATGCCTAATCCACCATCATGGTATTCCACACAGCATTGCTTCTGACCGAGGCACTCATTTTATGGCTAAAGAGGTGTGGCAGTGGGCTCATGCTCGTGGAGTTCACTGGTCTTATCGTGTTTCCCATCATCCTGAAGCAGATGGATTGATAGAATGGTGGAATGGCCTTTTGAAGTCACAATTACAACACCAACTAGGTGACAATACTTTGCAGGACTGGGGCAAAGTTCTCCAGAAAGCCACATATGCTCTGAATCAGCATCTGATATATGGTACTGTTTCTCCCATAGCCAGGTTGATGGGTCCAGGAATCAAGGGGTGGAAGTGGCACCACTCACCATCACCCCTAGTGATCCACTACCAAAATTTTTGCTTCCTGTACCTGTGATATTACATTCCACTGCCCTAGACATCTTAGTTCCAGAGGGAGGAACACGGCCACCATGAGACACAACAATGATTCCATTAAACTGCAAGCTAAGATTGCCACCTGGACACTTTGGGCTCCTCCTACCTTTAAGTCAACAGGCTAACAAGGGAATTACAGTGCTGGCTGGGGTGACTGACCCGGACTATGATATGAAATCAGTCTACAACTCTGCAATGGAGGTAAGGAAGAGTATGTATGGAATACAGGAGATCCATTAGGATGTCTCTTAATATTACCATGCCCTGTGATTCAGGTCAATGGGAAACTACAACAGTCCAATCCAAGCAGGACTACAAATGTCCCAGACCCTTCAGGAATGAAGGTTTGGATCACTCCACGGGAAAAAAAAAAAAAAAAAATACGACCTGCTGAGGTGCTTGCTGAAAGCTAAGGGAATATAGAATGGGCAGTAGAAGAAGGTAGTCATCAATTCCAGCTACAACCACATGACCAACTGCAGAAATGAGGACTGTAACTGTCATGAGTATTTCCTCTTTCTTTTGTTAAAAACATGTTTGTGCATGTATATACTTGTACTAAGAAAACATCTTCATTTTATTTCCTTTTCTTTTATCATATGACAAGATTTATTGACTTCATATCAGCATTTAAGTATTGTTAACTTTATGTAATAGTATTTGGGTTTGGAATTGGTGCATTTCTGGTTATACGAAGGACAGTTGTATTATGTTAGGTGTAATTATGACCTAAGTATTGTCTTTATTTGAAGATTATGTATGATCTCAGGAGATGTGTATGGGTTCAAGTTGACAAGGGGTGGACTTGTGATGGTAAATACTGAATGTCAACTTGATTGGATTGAGGGATACAAAGTATTAATCCTGGGTGTGTCTGTGTGGGTGTTGCCAAAAGAGATTTGAGTCAGTGGGCTGGGGAAGGCAGATCCACCCGTAATATGGTGGGCACAATCTAATCAGCTTCCAGTGAATATAAAGCAGGCAGAAAAACATGAAAAGGAGACTGCGGGGCTTAGCCTCCCAGCCTACAACTTTCTCCCATGCTGGATGCTTCCTGCCCTAGAACATTGGACTCCAAGTTCTTCAGTTTTGGGACACGGACTGGCTCTCCTTCCTTCTCAGCTTGCAGACAACCTATTGTGGGACCTTGTGGTCATGTAAGTTAATACTTAATAAATTCCCCTTTATATACATATATATATATATATATATATATATATAGAGAGAGAGAGAGAGAGAGAGAGAGAGAGAGGAATAGATAGATATCCTATTAGTTCTCCCCCTCTAAGGGAACTCTGACTAAAACACTCATCATAAAAACTCTCTGCAAAGACTAGAAAGAAACTTCCTCAATTTATCTGCAAAATATGTACAGGCACCACAATACTAAATGGTGAAAACTTAATACTTTCTTCCTAAAATCAGGAACAAGGCAAGAACACCTGTTCTCACTACTCTTATTCAACATTATGCTGGAAGTTCAACTACTACAAAAAAAAAAATGAGAAAAAAATAAAAAGACATACAAATTAGAAAAAAAAAGAAATAAAATTTCCCGTATTCACAGATGGCATGATTATCTGCAAAAAATGAGGAGATATCAACAAAAAACTTTTAGAATTAATCAGGGACTTTAGTAATGTAATAGGATATAAGGCCAAAACACAAAAATTAATCATATTCCTAATATGTCCACATTCAGTGGACAATTGAAAATCAGAATCTAAAGATAACATATACCACTTACAACAGCTCTCAAAGTAAAATATTTAGGTATAAATCTACCAAAATATGTGCAGGGCCTATACGTTAAAACTACAGAATGCTGATGAAATAAACATAAGGCGTAGATGTCTGACTAGACAGCCAGGAAGTACTGCTCCCACCGAGAGACCAAAATATGGAGTAAACCAACATGCTTCAAACACATCTTCAGAGAGAAAACACTGAGAATCTATAGAGAGACAATATAAATACTGAGGCCAAAGAGGGAGGAAGTAGGGAACCCTACATGGAACTGCAGAGGACCAGGATGAATTCCCGGCCCTGAATGGCTCCTAGGGAAGAGATGAGTGAAATGATGGCAGGGCAGCCCACACTCGCTGTGGACTTCTGGAATCCTAGCTGCAAAGATCCTATGCTCCCTCACCACCATAGGCATTTGAATTGTAAGGGATATCTGCCTGAAGAGTAGGCAGAGACAGAGCTCCGAGTTCCATGGAGACCAGGAAAATTTGCATGCCAGACCGAGGCAGCACAGCACAGTCATAGGTGCCCGTCCCCCAAGGCTCCCCATTTTCCTCTGAGTACCTCTAACTCCAGCTGACCGGTGGGTCAAAGACAGCAGAGCCATCTTTCCCACAGGATTGTGGTGCCTCTGTCCTAGAGGCGCCCCCTGCCTGCCAGCCCCTCCAAATTCCCCTCCCTAGCCACTCTAGCAGGAACATGTGCACAGCACAGCCTCTGATGCCCAGCCTGGGTGCTTTGCCATTGGTTCCCACTGAGTGCTTTTTTGGTGGCCTGGGAGCACTTCAGATCCCCCAGGACAGCTAGTGCTTAACCCAAAGGGAATAGAAGATAGAGCTACAGGCCTGATCCCAATGCCCTAGCGTTTCGGCACACAGACGGGGAGTACCAAGCTGAAATATGTGGCCAGTGCTTGAGTTGAGGAGGAGCCCCCATTCTCAGAATACTGGAAAGGGATGAGATGCAGGTTTGTGGGCCTGTGTGGGAGTGGGGTGTGCCTCCCTCCTCAGGGTCGGCCCCAGAAGGATGTAGCCTGTATGCCAACCATGGCCCCTGCCTGAAGGAGTCCCACAGCCCAGAACACATGAAAAAGAAAATGTGGGGGTGGCACCAGTGATTGGAAGGGGCTCTCCTAAGGCCCTGGAGTAGACCTGGAGAGAGGATCTTCTCTCCCCCTTCTCCCAACACAGAGCACCACTATGAATATGCTGAAATATAAAAGAGCCAGGTGACTTAAGAGTCTGTCTGCAGTCTATTGCTCTTAAGTCCATCTACTGGATTGGGGCCAAAATGACAACACCAAAATATTCTGCTAGTATACCGCACCTGTGAAACTCAGGGCAAGAATCTGGCTACAAATAAAGATCTGGTACAGAGCCTTGGCCCTCAGAAAGCATCGAGGAATGAAGACAATTGATGATACTCAACTTATACTGAAGCTAAATCCTCGACAGAAGTAAAGACTAAAAAACAAAAAGTCAAAAATACAAAGAAACACCAGAAATCTCAGAGGAGGAACTTCAAGAACTTTGATGATTCAAAAAGTCAGAGTGCCCCTTATGTTTAAACTAGCACCCTAGTTCCCCAGCAATGATTCTTAACCAGATTGAAATGACTGACTGAAATAACAGACATAGAATTCAAAATCTGGATAGAAAAGAATCTCATCAAGATACAGGAGAAGGTAAAAACCCATCCAAGGAACCCAAAGGATCCAGTAAAATGGTGAAATGGTTGAAAGATGAAATAGCCATTTTAAGAAAGAACCAATCTGACCTTTGGGAGTGGACATATTCACTACAAGAATTTTATAGTATAGTTGAAAGCATTAATCGCAGCTGAGGAAAAAATCTCAGAGCTCAAAGACCAGTTCATCAAATTTACCCCGTCAGACAAAAATGAACAAAAAAGATATAAAAAAAGACAAAACCTCCAAAAAATGTTATTATGTAATAAGACCAAACCTATTTTTTATTGGCATTTCTCAGAGAGAAGGAGAGAGAGAAAGCAACTTGGAAAATATATTTGAGGATATACTCTATAAAAATATTTGCCATCTTACTAAATAGGTTGATACAAAATTTCAGTAAATACAGAAAACCCTTGTAAGACTACTATAAAAGATGACAATTCAAGGCACATGTTATTAGAGTCACCAAGGTCAATGAGAAATTTAAAAATCTGAAAGGCAGCTAGAGATAAGGGTCAGGTCACTTACTGAGGGAATTCCATCAGGCTAGCAATCAAACTTCCAGCAGAAACCTTACAAGCCAGAAGCGATTAGGGACTTTTATTCAGCATCCTTAAAGAAAAGAAATTCCACCAAAAAGTCAAAATCCCAACAAACCAAGCTTCATAAGCAAAGGAGAAATAAAGTCCTTTTCAGACAAGGAAATACTAAGGGAATTTATCACCACTAGATCAGCTTTATAAGAAGTCCTTAAGGGGGTGTTGAACACGGAAATGACAGAAAGATGTATGCTACCACAAAAACACTTAAGCACAAAGCCCACAGGTACTATAAAGCAACTATACAACCAACTCTACAAAACACTCAGCTAATAACATGATGTCAGGATCAAAATCGAACATGTCAATGAATGTGAACAGTATAAATGTCTCCATTAAAAGGCATAGAGTGGCAAGTTGGATTAAAATATAAGAACCTATTGTCTGCTATCTTTAAGAGACCCCTCTTACATGTAATGACACCCACAAGCTCAAAGTAAAGAGATGGAGAAAGATCTATAATGCAAACAGGAAAAAGAGAAGGAGTCATTATTCCTATGTCAGATGAAACAGACTTTAAACCAGTAAAAATTAAGAAGGACAAAGGTGGGAACTACATAATACAATACACCCCACTGATGGTATTAGACAGATCATTGCGGCAGGAAACTGACTAAGAAATTCTGGACTTAAACTCACCACGTGACCAACTGGAACTAAGAGACATGTTCAGAATCTTTCACCTAACACTACAGAAATATATTCTACTCATCTTCACACAGAACATATTCTAAGAGTGAATGAACACATGCTTGGCCATAAAACAAATCTCAATAAATTCAAAAAATTTAAAATTATATCAAGTACACTCTGCAATAACAGTGCAATAAAAATATAAATCAATACCAAGAAGACCTCTCAAAACCCCACTACTATGTGGATATGAAACAACTTGCTCTTGAATGACTCTTGAAATAACCATAAAATTAAGGAAGAAATCAAAACATCCTTAAAACTAATATAAAGACAAAACTTATGAAAATATTTGAGATAATGTTAAAGCAGTGTTAAGAAGGAAGTTTATAGCTGTAAATGCCAACATGAAAAAGTCAGAAAAATCTCAATTTTAACAACTTATCATTGCACCTAGAACTAGAATAAAATAACAAACCAACCAGAAAGCCAGCAGCAGAAAACAAATAAATAAAATAAGAGAAGAATTGAATAAAATTGAGATGCAAAAATACATAAAAAGATCAATGAAACCAAAAGTTGGTTTTGCAAAAGAATAAATAAGATTGATAGACTACTAGCTAGATTAACAAAGACAAAAGTGAAAATATCCAAATAAACACAGTCAGAAATTTAAAAGATGACATTACAACTGATCCCACAGAAATACAAAAGATACTCAAGAGACTACTGTGAAAAATTCTATGTGTAAAAATTAGAAAATCTACAATAAATGAATAAATTCCTGGAAAAACACAACCTCCCAAGACTGAACCAGAAAGAAAGTGAAAGCCTAAACAGACCAGTAATGAGTTCTGAAATTGAATAAGCAACAATAATTTTAAAAAACCTACCACCCACAAAAAGCCCTGGACCAGATGGATTTACAGCCTAAATTTGCCAGCTATATAGTGAAACTATTCCAAAATATTGAACAGAAAGTACTCCTCCCTAAATCATTCTATGAAGCCAGCCTCATCCTGATACCAAAATCTGGCAAAGCAACAATGGGAAAAAAAAAAAAAACACTTTAGGCCAATATTCTTGCTAAATGTAGATGCAAAAATCAACACAATATCTGCAAACCATATCCAGCAGCACATCAAAAAGTTAACTCACCATGATAAAGTAAGCTGTATTTCTGCTATGCAAGACTGGTTCAACATATGCAAATCAATAAATGTGATTCATCACATTAACAAAATTAAAAACATAACCATATAATCATCTCAATAGATGCAGAAAACACTTTCAATAAAATCCAACATTACTTCATTATAAAAACACTCAACAAACTAGGCATTGAAAGAACATACCTCAAAATAGTAAGAGCCATATATGACAAACACACAGCCAACATCATACCGAACAGGTAAAAGCTGGAACCATTATTTTTGAGAACTAGAAGAAGAAAAGAATGCCCACTCTCACCACTCTTATTCAACGTAATACTGGAAGTCCTAGCCAGAGGATCAGGCAAGAGAAAGAAATAAAAGGCATCAAAATAGGAAAAGAAGTCAAAATATCTCTCTTCACTGACGATATGATTCTATACCCAGAAGACCCTAAAGACTCTGCCACAATGCTCGTAGAACTGATAAAAAGACTTCAGTAAAATGTCAGGATAAAATATCAATGTACAAAAACCAGTAACATTTATATACATGAGTAACATAAGGATTGAGCCAAATCAAAACGCAATCCCATTTTTAATGGCCACAAAAAATAAAATACCTAAGCATACATCTAACCAAGGAGGTGAAAGATCTCTGTAAGGAGAATTACAAAACACTGCTGAAAGAAATCAGCGACAACACCAATAAATGGAAAAACATTCCATGCTCAAGGATTAAAAGAATCAATATTGTTAAAATGGCCATACTGCCCAAAGAAATGTACAGATTCATTGCTATTCCTAGAAAACTACCAATGTCATTTTACACAGAATTAGAAAAACATATACCATAATTTATATGGAATAAAAAAAGAGCCTGAATAATCATAGTAATCATAAGCAAAAGGAACAAAACCAGAGGCATCACGTTACCTGATTTTAAACTATACAAGAAGTCTACAGTAACCAAAACAGCATGGTTCTGGTACAAAAACAAACACAAAGACCAAAGGAACAGAATAAAGAATACAGAGATAAAGCTGTACACTGACAACCATGTGATCTTTGACAAACTCAAGAAAGTAAGGAATGGGGAAAAGGCTCCCTATTCAATAAATGTTTCTGGGATAACTGGATATTCATATACAGAAGAATAAAATTAGAGCCTACTTATCACCATATAAAAAATAACTGAAGATGGTTTAAAGTCTTAAACGTAAGACCTAAAACTATAAAAACTTTGAAGGATACATAGGAAATACCTTTCTCAATATCAGTCTTGGCAAATAATTTATGGATAAGTCCTCAAAAGCAACTGTAACAAAAAAATGTATAAGTGAGATGTAATTGAACTAAATAGCTTTTTCACAGCAAGAGGAACTATCAAAGAATTAAACAGGCAACCTATTGAATGGGAGAAAATATTAACAAACTATGCATCTAACAAAGGATCAATATCCAGAATCTGTAAGGAACTTAAACAAAAGAACAAGCAGAAAACAACTAACCCCATTAAAAAGTGAGCAAAGGACGTAAATAGACATTTCTCAAAAGAAGACATACAACCGATCGACACACATGAAGAAAATGCTCATCATCACTAATCATGAGAGAAATGTGAACCAAAACCAGAATGTAGCACCATCTCACACCATTCAGGATGGCTTTGGATGAAAAGTCAAAAAATAACAGATGTTGGCAAGGCTTCAGAAAAATGGGACACATACACTCTTTGTGGGAATGTGAATTCGTCCAGCTACTGTGGGAAACAATTTGGAGATTTCTCAATGAACTAAAAGTTGAACTACCATACAACCTAGTGATCTCATTACAGCATATATATCCAAATGAAAATAAATTTGTCTACCAAAAACACATATGCACCTGTATGTCCATTGCAGCACTATTCACAACAGCAAAAACATGGAATCAACCCAGGTGCCTATCAGCAGTGAACTGGATATAGAAAATGTACATATACATCATGAAATGCTATGCAGCCATGAAAAAAAATCATGTCCTTTGCATCAACATGGATTCAGCTTGAGCACATTATCCTAAGAGAACTAATGCAGGAACAGAAAACGGAATACTTTATGCTCTCACTTACAAGTAGGAGCTAAATATTGGGTACACATGGACATAAATATGGGAACAACAGACACTTGCGACTAGTAGAGGGGCAAGGATAAGATGGTGGCAAGGGCTGGAAAACTACCTAATGTGTATTATGCTTGATACCAGTGTAATAGGTTCAATCATACTGAAACAGGAAAAGTTCTCTTGTGCCCCTCACAGGGCATGCAATGGGGGTGTGGCTCATTTCTTCAGTGCCCCACTGCTCAAACCTCTAGGGGAGAATACAGATGGGCAGGCTGTGGGGCTCTGAACCCATGGCAGTGTCTAGGGGTGCATGTTTACAGCTGAAGCCCCAGTGGATGTGTGTTACAGGGTTCTCTTTTAGTTTAAGCTACCATAGGTGGCTGTGTTAGCTCAATAAGACCCCTCCCTTATCGCAAGGACAGAGGGCTTTCTGTATCCCAGGGTTCTTGCCTTGTTGTACCAGAAGAAACAGATTACATGTGGGCTTGGAGAATGAGTGCAAGGTTTTATGAATGGAAGTAGCTCTCAGCAGATGGGGGCGCCCAAAGGGAGATGGTTTTCCCTTGGAGTTGGGCTGCTCAGTGGCTTGGGCCCTCCTCCAACTGACCCTACCAAACTCTGCCTCGTTCCACCGGTTGATGGCCTGCCGGCATGCTAGCATGCTCCCCTCAACGTCCTCTCCACATCTAGCTGCTCCGGTCTTCTACTGATATGTTCCTCTTGACTTCCAGCCACTTGTGTGTTCCTCTGCTGATGTGTTCCTCTTGCCGTCCAGCCACCTGTGTGTCTGCCTGCTAGGGTGTCAGGGTTTTCATAGGCACAGGATGGGGGTGTGGCAGGCCAGGGTTGTCTTGGGAAATGCAACATTTGGACAGGAAAACAAAAGTGCCTGTTTTCACCTAGGTCTGTGGGCACAGGCCCAGGAGTGGAGCCCTAGCTAGGGACCATGCCCTTCTCTAACCAGCACTTCCCTTCCCCCATGCAGTATCATTTAAAGATATCACACCCTTCCCTTCCCAGCACTTCCCTTACCCACTTCCATGTCAATTCCCCAAACCTCAGCATCATGCAATATACCTCTGTAACATTCTTGCACATGTACTCCCTTATTCTAAAGTAAAAGTTTAAAAAAGAAATCAAAGTACTAAATAATTGGAGTGACATACCATCTCCTTGGATTGGAACACTCAACACAGTAAAAATGTTACTTCTCCCAAGTTTGAGCTATATACTGGACATCATTCCAAAGAAAATACCTGCAAAAATTTTTACAGATATAGACAAGCTATTTTTAAATTTATATGGAAAGACCCCAACAATTATTATAGCAAAAAATAAAAAAAGATTAAATTTGTAGGAATAACATTACTTTGTTTTAAGACTTAATTTAGAGCTGCAGTATACAAGATGGTATGGTACTGACTAAGAGATAGGAACACAGATAAATGGACAGAAGAGATAGTCAAGAAAGAGATTGAAATAGGCTGACACTGATATGGCCAATATATTTTTGACAAAGGTGCAAAAGCAATGGTTTTGGGACACTGGATATTCATATGCAAATAAGTTAGCTTTGAGGAAAACCTCATACCTTTTAAAAAAATTAACAAAGAATGAGTCACAGATTTAAATGTAATATGTACAATTATAAAACTATTAGAAGAAAACACTGGAGAAAACCTTTGTGACCAAGAATTAGACAAGGTGTTCTTAGTCATGAAACCAAAAACACAATCAAGAAAAGTATAGAATAATAAATTTGATTTTATCGAATTAAAAACATGAGTTTGGCAAAACACACCTCTAAGAGAAAAATATATAGGTTGGAGACTTGAAGAAAATGTTTTCAGAACATCACTTATGTGACAAAAGATTTGTATCCAGACTGTATCGATAAGTCAAAACTCAACAGTAAGGAAGCAAATATCCCTATTTTAAAGTGGGCAAAATACTTGTACACTTCACCAATGAAAACCTATAAATGGTGAATAAACATATGAAAAGACCATGCAGTAACATTATACATCTATTGGAATGGCTAAAACAAAATATACTGACAATATCAAGTGCTAATGATAGTGCATAGCGACTGGAATTCACATACCTTGCTGGTGGGAATGTACAATAATATACCCACATTGAAAAAAAAATGTAGGTTCTTAAAAAGTTAAACATGCACTTACTATATGACTTACTGATCTCATTCCAAGGTACTTACAAAAGTAAATTGAGGAATTTTCCTCACAAAAATATCTGTATATAAATGCTTTGAGCAGCTCTGTTTATAATTGCCAATAACTGGAAACCACCCTAATGCTCTTCAATGGATGAATGAATAAACAAACTGGTATATCCACAAAATGGAATGCTCCACAGCAATTAAAAGGAATAAATTATTTATACATGCAAAAATTTGCATAAGTCTCCAGGGAATTATGCTAAGTGAGGAAAGTTAATCACAAGTAGTTATAATCTATATGATTCTATTTATATGACATAAAGACTGGCTATATTCTTTATGCATTTATGTGCAACAAAAAAAATGCACACCCCTTTGTTCATAAACTATTAAAAAATTCAAAAACATTTTAGTGCAGAACAAGAGTAAGGATCTTCTAGACATGGAACTGTACAGGTTGCATAGTTGTGACATGGGCTGTTGTGTGATATTCTCAAAAATAGAAAACTAGAGTGATAGATAACAGATTATTAGTTGGTAGTGGTTAAGGGTGGGAGAAGATAACTACAAAGGCACAACAGGAGGAAATTTTGGCTATGATGCAACTGTTTTGTATTCTGTCTGTGGTGGTGGTTTCATAAATCCTTACATGTGTTAAAATTTATGTAATGTCTACCACAAAATTCCATTTTACTGTATGTTAACTTAAAAATATAACTAAAAAATGAAAACTATCGAAAAATAGATCACTAACTCAAACCTAAAAACTAAAGAAAACAGAAGAGAAACTTTTGTAACCTTACGACAGGCAATGTTACTTAAACACATACAAAAAGCACTAACTGGAAAAGTAAAAATTGACAAATTGGACATCAACATTAAACCTTCTCTTCAAAAGACTTCATTAAGAAAATGAAAATGTAAGCTCAACCAGGGGAAAAATAGTCACAAAGCATTTACATATCAAATATCTTATGCATAGAATATTCAGCAAACTTTTACGATGTAATAATAAAAGTACAAGCAACCCAACAAAATATAGACAAAATCTTGGACAAACATTTCACTAAATAAAATACACTGATAATCAATAAGCACATGAAAATATGCTAAGTGTAGTTAGTAATGAAATGCACATTAAAATTAGCAAGACATGCCTCTTCACAGCTACTAGAATGACAAAATGTAAAAGACTGACAATATCAAATGTTGGGGGTAATATGGGCCAAAGAAACTTTCACTCACAGACAATTGGAAAAGTAAATGGTAGAGATGCTTTGGAAAATATTTTGGCTGCTTCTCAGAAAAAAAATCATAAACATCATAACATCATGTGACCCAGCAATTCCATCTCTAGGCATTTATCAAGAGAAATGAAAGGATATATCCATATGACTTGTATATAAATAATTATGGCAACTTAATTCATAACAATCCCAAATGGGAAACAACATACATGTCCATCCATAAGTGAATGGATAAATAAATTGTATACATCTACAAGCGAATCTCATTCAAAATTAAAATGAACAAACATGGATACATGCAGTAACTTAGATAAATCTCAAGGCATCAGTGCTGAATGAATGAAACCAGTCTCAATAAAAGTATGTAGGGTATGATCTCATTCAAATTATATTATATAGCTTACAAAACTACCTAACAGTGATAGTAATTAATAGTGGTAGTAATAATCTGTTTACCTGAGTAAAGGTAGGAGAGGGGATTGACTGAAAGGGAAGAGGGGAAACCTTTCTGAAGCAATTGAAATATTCTACATCAGTATTTGGTTGGTGGATAAGCAAGTGTATATATTTGTCAAAAATTATCATTCTGCCTAAAATATGTGATTTTTTTAATCACATGTAAGTGGTACTTCAAAAATGTCAATTAAAATTACAAGGTGAAATAAAGTGTTTTCAGAAAAATATATACAAACACTAAGAGAAATTGTTATCTTCAGAACTGTAATACTAGAAGATATTTTTTTCAAACAGGAGAAAACTAATCACAGATAGAAAAATACTGTTTTTAATAGAAATTTAAAAGCACCAGTAAAAATTAATATCTCTATAAGTAGAAAAGATCATTGACTATTTAAAACAATAATACAAACATCTTATGGAGTTTAAAATACAGTTAAATTCTAAATACATGGCAACAATACCCAAAATGCAGAATAAGTAAATGATGTTAAAGTGTTTTAAAGTCCTTACATTGTCTGGGAAGCAGTAAAGATACTATTTTAAAATAGGCATTAATAGGTCAAGGCATGTTTTGAATTCTAGGGTAAACACTAGAACAGTAGGAACATGTATACTTAAAGAAGAGGATGCTGTGATGTGCCTCCCAGACACCATTCTTTTCAGGACTAAAACACTCATTTCCACAGCTGATGGGATTCTTGATTGCTGACAGCTTCAGGAATTGCTTTCAGTGGACAGAAAACATCTCATTCAAGGTCATATGCACTTCCTTGGGGCAACCTGCATCCAATGACTGTAAAATGAAGGGATACATAGGCCACGATACTGTTGCCGCAATTTGAGACAAGTCTGTTGAGCCATCCCAGCTTCACAGCTTCTTGTGAAATTGACTGAAACCTTTTTATCACAATTCAACTTCCCTTATTGCCCTATCTAGCTTAATTCACATCTGCACAGTTGTGGATTATGGGGGCACATCTCAATAAAATTTCTGCATGCAAAGTTCCTTTTCGAATTTCTTTTCTGGGGAACCTAACCTATGACACTTGGTGCGAGGAGTGGCTGGAGGAAGCAGACCATAAAATATATATTTGCAGTTGGGTCACTCACTGGCCAGTAATCAATGTGAATCCCATCACTGGTAGTGAGAGGGTATAGGCCCCAGCATGTGGTAGTTTCATGGTGTAAGAGGATGCACTAGTAAATTGAGCTGTACACAGGGACTGGTAATTATATGGCTGTTACTAAAGCAATTGATGCCTTGAAGATAATGAAAGGCTGACTGTGTTTTTGGCTAATTTTGAAAATGAGTGAATTTCCCTTGTTGCATATCATGAGCTTCTCATCTCTTACAGACATTAGAAAGAAAAAAAAAAGCAAAGCAAAAGCTTACTTATAAAAATTATAATTGCAGAACTTTAGAGGACGTTGAATTCCCAGCAACAGTAGCAAGTCTGCTATGCTCAATTTGGAAACATGATTGGGAAGATTGGGACTTTGAGGGATTGGATGTGGGCATCAGGATTGATGCACTAGACAATCTTAAATCTCTATATTTTCTGAAACTTTGTGGACCTGCGATATTTGCTCCCTGTTCTCTGTTAAAGGCTAGAACTCTATTCTTGCCTTAACATGATGCAAAGTCCTCTGTCTTGCAAGACAATACACGCCGTCCTTTAAGATCTAGCCCCATTTCTCCTTCTGGTTACCAGATAATGAAGATTAAGTCATAACATAATCCTGTTAGGAAAGTCCCTGGTAAACTACAAGAGAAAAGGACATCAAGGAGCTGTAGCACCTAGGCAACATATACAAGAACTGGACTAGTACGTACGGGAGTACATGAGGTTGCTAGATCAAGAGGACTGGAACACAAGCTTGTGTAAGGGAAAGTAATTTGATATAACAGATCTCCACCATGAACTATGAAATACATAACTTCATTGATTTATTGCAGGAATGCAGGATTAGTTTAACATTTAAATATCAATGGCATTAATTTACCAAACTAACAAAGTGAAGGAGAAAAACATCATATAATCATGTCAATATCATTTACTAGCCTAAGCCCCCAAATTATGCAATATACCCATTTAACAACCGGCCCACGTACCCCTTTACTCTAAAATAAAATTAAATACAATAAACTTTTTAATGTTAAAAAAATCAATGACTCAGTGATTTTAAATGCTTTTAGTCAATCAAAATTATCAACTGATTCAAAAGGCAATCTCTCTGGAAATGCCCTAATACACAGGCCCAGAAATAATGTGTAACCAGCTACCTGGAAATTTCTTAGCCCAGTCAAGCTGACACATAAAATTAACCAACAGTATGTTTTACAAGATAACCTTATAAAATTAATATAATAATATTATCATTTAAAATGCTAACCTCAGCCTCAGAAATCACACTACTGTGGCAACAAGCAGATGGCCCATTGGTTATGGTTACAGATTGTTAGGTCTCAACAACTGCTTTTATAGCAAGAGATCTCCTTCCTCTTACCTAGTGAGAGAAAGATTCTCCAAAAATTTAACAATACTTGCTGGTTGAAGGAGAAATGTATACGTTGTGGACACAATTACTGAAAAATAAAACACTCAAATTACCAAAGAAAGTATCAACAAAAAAATCTACAGCAATTGTGATGCTTAATGGTGAACTAGTGAAAAATTTCCTGTTGAAATCAGGAATGATACAAAGATATTTACTATCATAATATTTACTCAATGTTGTACTGGAGTTTCCAGCTACTGTAAGAAAGCAAGAAATTAAATAATAAGAGATATAAAGTTTGAAAAGAAAAAATAGAACTGTCATCATTCACAGACTATTGATATGTATGCTTCTATAAAAATAAATAATCATTAGTGAATTGTGAATTATGATTATGACAAAAATATTTTAAAAGTTCTTAGTAACATTTAGATCTTTGCAGAAACTACAGATGATTTTATAATTATTGAGTGATTACCTGAAAGTAAAAACAAATGCTGAAACTCTTAGTAAAATATCGCAATAATGTAGACAAAATACATATGCAAAGATTTCTCCAAAAATATGAAGTTGATTAAATATTGAACAACATGTGCTTTACCTACCTCTCTTGTAGTTAACAGAATGTGCTTAATCACCACTTCATCTCCTCCCATACATTCACACACACACACACACACACACACACAAATACATGCACACACACACACGCACAACTCCTTAGTTTTTTGCCTATGGAGAGCAGGAGCATTAACTACCCGTAGTTGAGGCAAGATGTAATACACAATTGCATATGTGAATGCAAATAAAATGCTAATCTTATTGATATTTATTGCCTTGTCAATAAATGCATATGTTTTCAAAAATTCAAAGTGTTGTAAAAATTTTTTATTAAGGTCATTATTTTTACTATTCCAGAGGACTCTTGGGATTTTTCCTTTTGACCTGTTAGTAAAGGTGCCTTTGACTTGCAAACGATTCTAACAGAACTAGACATAGGGTTATTTTTTTGTCTTAGGCATGCTCATTTTCTCATTCAATTGCCATTTCTGCCTTGACCCCTTCCACTACTCCCTCTCATCAGCACTTTTTCTCCTGCTGGAGGCTCCTCATTTTCTTATTTACTGAGGATGCTCTTGTCAGGATATGGAAAAATGTGGTCTGAATATGTTTAATGGGCTTCCTTCCCTATCGAGACATTTAATTAATTAATTTAAAAAGAATGTCTAATGTTGACATTTCAGAAAATGTAAAATAAGGGACTCTGATACTCCCACAGGTTATACCACACGTGCCACTGCTTGCTTTACTCATGTTTAGATCTAGCCTCCTGTGGTTACGAAGTGAGTCACATGCCTTTGAGGCCTTTAATTACTAGAAAAAGTGGAGCAGGTTGGGAGAGAATTGGAGAATGGAGCAACAATTTTAGCAGCTGCTGCTTCAGCTCATATCCGTAAGACCTGACAAAGTGGCATGGAAGCAGCAAGCAATCACGTAGTTTCATAGCCTTTGTCTCTTTCTCTCTCTGGGAACTGAGTATTGTTACCCCTTCTAGCAGCCATGGGACAAGAACTATACAAAGACTTACAGCTGTTTTTTTTTTTTTTTTCCTTTGGTGCCAAAGGCAGTGAACTGACAGAATGCTTTTCATTTTCTCTTGACAGCCAGCAAATGTTTTGGCTGGAAACCTTCCCTGAATGACAGAATACTGGGTTTGAAAGAAACATTTTCATGAAGTATGTGCCCCTGTGGGATGGATCTGGTTTGCAAATTAAGACACTGCTGCCCTCACCCATGAGCACTAGTTCATTCCTGCCTCCAAATACTCACTTTCCATCATAGAGACGTGTGGTCTGAATATTGGGGAACATAAATGTGTTTTCTCTACCCTTGAGTTATTATTCACTTTTTAGTATTGTTCCACCACTTGGTGTGGTACAAGCTAAGAAAACATAATTAAATACAAATCAACAAAGTAAAATAGCAAAATGAGGTGGAAAGGCCAGTTATTGCCTTATAATTTTTATAAAAAGTTGTCTATCATTTTGGTTCTATGATTCATTTTGTCTTCATACAGAATCTACAACACTCAGCACAATTTTTATATTAAGCAAGAAGTTTTAGAAATTTAAAGTTAGTGATGTGACTCACAATAGCTACAGTTGGAGTAGTATAATTTAGTCTAAAGCAATATAGTTGCTTCTGTTGGAACTATCACTTAGCTCACAGTATGAGCAAGTTCATTGTTTTCTTTGATTTAGATTTCTAATTTGTCAAGTTACCGCAATTTTATTCTCAGAAATATAGTGTAGGTTGTCAACTGTCCATATAAAGGTTATCCGTAGTTCATTGTATCAAACAAAAACTGCCATTATCCTCATAATCTCATTAGGAAAACTGACATTTGGTATAGTACAAGATTCTGTTACAATTTTTTGTTAATCAATTCTTAACAATTTATAAGAGCATTAAAATTTTGTTTTTGTTGTAGTGAATTTTCAGCAAACTGAAGTAAAATAGTCATTAGTGGGTATTGGCTTAAAAGGCCCACTCATCAAAGCTTATGTGTTCTGTATTAGTCTGTTCTCACATTTCTATAGAGAACTACCTGAGATTGGGTAATTTATAAAGAAAAGAGGTTTAATTGGCTTATAGTTCCACAGCCTATACAGGAAGCATGGCTGGGGAGGCCTCAGGAAACTTTTAATCATGGCAGAAGGTGAAGGGCAGAAGGCATGTCTTACATGGCCAGTGCAGGAGGAAGAGAGTAGAGGGGGAGGTGCTACAGACTTTTAAATAACCAGATTGCGTAAGAACTCATTCACTATCATGCAAATAGCAAGGGGGAAATCCACCCCCATGGTGCAATAACATCACACCACACCTCTCCTCCAACATTGGGCGTTACAATTTGACATGAGATTTGTTCAGGGACACAAATTCAAACTGTATCATTTTGCTCCTGGCCCCTCCCAAATTTTATGTCCTTCTCACATTGCAAAATACAATCCCTTCTCAACAGTCCTTCAAGTTTTAACTCATTTTAGCATTAACTCAAAAGTCCACAGCCCCAAGTCTCACATGAGACAAGGCAAGTCCCTTTCATCTATGAGCCTATAAAAAAAAAAAAAAAAGGCTTCAGGCCCCATGCAAATAGGAAACTCAGTAGGGCAGCCATTAAATCATAAAGCTCCTAAATAATCTTCTTTGACTCCATGTCTAACATCCAGTCCACACTGATACAAGAGGTGGGCTCCCAAGGCCTTGGGCAGCTCTGCCCCTGTGGCTTTGCAGGGCTCAGCTACCATGGCTGCCCTCAAGGATTGGCTTTGTGTGCCTGTGTCTTTTGCAGGCACATGGTGCAAGCTGTCAGTGGATCTACCATTCTGGGGTCTGGAGGATGGTGGTCCCTTCTCACAACTTCACTAGGCAGTGCCCCATGGGGACTCTGTGTGGGGGCTCCAACCCCACATTTCCACTCTGCCGTGCCCTAGTAGAGCTTCTACATGAGGGCTCCACATCCTGCAGCAGGCTTTTGCTTGGACATCCACACATTCCCATACATCATCTGAAATCCAGGCAGAGGTTCATAAGCCGCAGATCTTGCCCTGGGTGCATGCACAGGCTTAAGACCACGTGGAAGCCACCAAGGTTTACAGCTTACACTCTCTGGAACAATGGCCTGAGATGTACCTGGGGCCTTTTTAGGTACAGCTGGAGCAGGAGCAGCTAGGATGCAGGTGATGGCAGTGGCAGCACATCTGGAGCAGCTGCCGTCATGATGCCGGCTGCAGTGGGTGAGGCGCAGGCAGGGCCATGTGCTCCACAGAGACAGCTGGGGTCAGGAACAGGCAGGAGCCCTGCCCCCTTCTGAGTTGGGGGAGTGGGGGGATGTGGGGGAGGAGAGCCCTGCCCTCATGGGCACATCTGCAGCTGCCCCGCTGTGGCTGCAGACCTGGACATCCTTGTGCTCTTGGGGGCCTGAGAAGGCCCCCTGCCCCTGCAGGCTTAGAAGTGCCTACTTTTGCTGACTGGCCTCTCCCTGCTTTTGGCACCCACTCCAATTTTGGAGCAAAGTTGAGGCTGAACCCTGGCACTGTTGCAACCTGGCTGGGTGTGTGCATGCTTGGGGCAGAACTGACACAGCAGCCCCCTGCTGCCTCAGCCCCCTTCAGATTCTGGGTGCTGATAAGCATGGGAGGCATACCAAGGGGTGGCTAAGGGTGGTTCAGCATGGGCATGCAGGCACCCCTTGGCATGAACTGCTTGGGCACCATGGATGGCAGATTGATGGTGGAGAAGGCAGGACAGGCTCCTAGGTGGAAAGGGGTGGGTCCCTGGTGAAACCCTACCCCCAAACCAGGGAATGTCTGAAGCCTGGGGGCTTGGCTGCCACTTCGGCAGACTGGATTGAGAACTTATGGTGCGTTTTCCAGGTCTGCCCATGGCTACCCATGGACCAATCAGCACACACTTTCTCTCCTCTGAAACCCATAAATACCCTGGACTCAGCCAGAGTTGGGTAGATGACAGGACGACCTGCCTGCAGATAGTAGATACCCAAACTGGGTCTCCTCTTTGATGAGGGCTGCATATATTGGGATGATCTGCCTGCAGAAAGGAGCTACCCACTGCAGGTTTCCTCTCTGCTGAGAGCTGGACACTGATTGGAATGACCTGCCTGCAGAAAGGAGCTACCCACTTTGGGTCTCCTGAGAACTGTTCTGCTGCTCAATGAAGCTCTGCTCTGCCTTGCTCACCCTCTAGTTGTCCACATACCTCATCCTTCCCAGACATGGGACAAAACCTCAGGACCTGCTGAATGGCATGACCAAAAGAGCAGTAACACAAGCAGGGCTGAAACATGCCCCCCTGCTTGCCACATTGTGGGCAGTGAGAAGGAGGGAAGAGATATTGACCTTCAGGAAGCCCAGACCTAGGGGCTCCCTGAGCCAAGGCTGTGACATCCTCTTTGGGGTTCTGTGGTTCTTGATGTCTCCAAGCTTCCAGGCACCACTGTGTTCTCCTCGTCCAGACATAGGTACCCACAGTGAAAGCCACATGCTGTACATCTGGTCCAGCTGCAAACTTGCATGGAGCTGGCATCTGTGCCTGTGCCTGGAGCTGCCTGTCCCACCACAGCAGCCAGGATGCCTGGCTGTGCACAGTGGCTGGATCCCGCACTCACTTGCCCACACACACCTCACTGCTCCACACCTGCCTTGCCCTTGGCAGATGTGGGATTCAGGTTAGGAGCGCAAGCCAAGCACAGCCTGCCAGGCTGAGTGGGCGGAACAAACCCAGTGGGTACAAGCAATACTCAGACAGAAGATGCCACTAGCCACAGAGGTTTCCAGCTGGCAAAGAGACACCCCAAGGATCCTGTGACACAGTGTCTCAAGGTTGCACAGGGCAGCCTTGGGCCTGGCCCATGAAACCATTCTTCCCTCCAAGGCCTCTGGATCTGTGATGGGAGAGGCTGCTGCAAAGGTCTCTAAAATACCTTCAAGGCATTTTTCTCATTTTCTTGACTATTAATATTCAGCTCCTCTTTACATATGCAAATGTATGCAGCATGATTGAATTCCTCCCCTGAATGTGTTTTTTTTTTTCTACCACTTGGTCAGGCCTCAAATTTTACAAACTTTTATGTTCTGCTTCTGTTTAAATATAATTCCAGTTTTATGTATTTTTTTTTTGCTCTATGTTCTGCTTCCACTTAAATATAAGTTCCAGTTTTATGTTTTGTTTTGTTTTGTTTTTTGCTCATGAATGTGAGCATAGTTTAGCAGAATCAGCCAGGACACTTTTTGAATGCTTTACTGCTTAGAATTTTTTTCTGCTAGATAACCTAAATAATCTCTCTCAAGTTCAAAGTTCCAAAGATCTTTACGGCAGGGGCACAATGCCACCAATATCTTTGCTAAAGAATAGCAAGAGTGAGCTTACTCCAGTTCCCTACAAGTTCCTTATCTCCATCTGAAACCACCTCAGCCTGGACTTCATTGTCCATATCACTATTAGCATTTTGGTCACAACAATTTATGGTTTTAGGAAGTTCCAAACTTTCCCTCATATTCTTGTCTTCTTCCTAGCCCTCCAAAGTGTTTCAGCATCTTCCCATTTCCCAGTTCCAAAGTTACTTCCACAGTTTCAGATATCTTTATAGCAATGCCCCACTCCTAGGTACCAATTTTTGTATTAGTCCATTCTCGCATTGCTGTAAAGAACTACCCCTGAGATTGAGTAATTTATAAATAAAAGAGGTTTAATTGGCTCACAGTTCCACAGGCTGTATAGGAAGCATGGCTGAGGAGGCCTCATGGTGGATGGGGAAGCAAGCACGTTTTATATGACTGGAGCAGGAGGAAGAGAGAACAGGGGGAAGTGCTACACACTTCTAAACAACCAGATTTGTGAGAACTCACTTACTATTACCAGAACAGCAAGGGGGAAATCCTTCTCCATGATCCAATCACCTCCTACCAGGCTTATGTTCCAACACTGGGGATTACAATTCAGCATGAGATTTCGATGGGGACACAATTTCAAACTATATTACGTTCCAATTCCAAAAAGAGAAGTAAAATAATGCCGGGGACAGGCAGATAAACTGCTCTAATTTGAGCCTTATAATCTCACTCTCCCATACACAAATTAGAGCTTCTCCCTTTTTCTTTTCTTCTTCTGCATGCAAAGAAAATTCAAACGTCCTTAGTTTTCTTATGCCACATTCAAATACTTGAGGAAAAAAAGATGATAGTGACATAACTGTCATTTGTATGAAACTTAAAGTTTGAAGACCTATTCTTGTACATTGTATGTTTAATCCTTCCACAAAATACAAGAGTGATATAATTACTTCCCATTTATATAGAAAGAAACTGATGCTCAGAAAATCTATGTAATTGCCCAAAGCCACGTAATTAAGTAAATTGGATAATCAACGCATAAATACACCCTCTGTGTCTCTAGCCTTCTGTTTTATGTTAACTACATTCACACAACAACTTTCAATGTCAGATAAGTCAGTATAGAACTTGATTTCATTTATTCTATTTTTCTTAATCCTTAGGGTCATTATCAGAAACAAAACGATGGTCAGAATAAACTATGGGCCTGAAGCAGTATGCCAAGTTGTCTTTTTATTTCTTTTATGTATGAGGACAAGTGACACTAGTACCTAGGAAAAGAAGAAAAACAAGTTATTAAGAACTCTCTGTGCTTCAGTGTTAGTTGTGTCATTGCATAATTAATCATATATCTTATCCTGTATTCTCAGCTAAATATATAATTTCAGAAATATATGGTCTAACTATAAATTTGACCTTATTCCAAGAATCCCAATTGTGATTGATAGAATGTTTCTCAGGATGGCTCAAGCCTTAAAACAGATTGGTACCCATGATTGGCTGGTGCTTTCTTCATGTTAAAAATTATATGAAATCTAAGATTAGTGAGGAGTTTTGTATCTGAAACATTAATACTATTAACTTTCAAAAATAATAATATTGTATTTAATGTCTATTAAATGTTACTAATTTTAACATTGAACTAAATTTTAGATTATCAAGTTGTCTTTTCAAATATACAAGAAACTCACCATTTTACAATGTACCATAATAACAAGGATCTATACTTTATATACAGAATGGAATATATTGTTATTTGTATATTTAAAAGTACAAGAAGGCATATTAGTATTCATTTTGATAGGATTTCAAGTAGCACGTTAGTAACACAAAAGTTGCATCATTAATTAATGCCACTTAATAAGAATCAAAACTCATTTCCTTATCTACCTCAATAACATAGGAATTTTGCTTTCATTGATATTCAACTTTCTGCTTCCTTATCCAGCAGAGTTAAAATTAGACTTTTCTGACTAAGCATAATCCTGGCTAAAAGAATTATTTGATTGCCTTATTCTATGCTTCAGACAAAATAAGGTTTACATGGAAAATAAACATTTATATAACTCAATATGCTATCATTTCCCATTAAATTAATTAAGAGATTTAAAAAGACATTCTCACCACATAATTAGCTAGAAAATTTTTCTCATATCAAAAGTTGCAATAACAAGGTGAAATAATTATTCATCCAAATGTCCTATTCCAAGAATATTAATATCTGACTAAAATATAAATATGATTCTATTGGAATTTTCTAAAACTCAGATATTCCAATGTATCACTGCATTAAAACATCTTTTTTGTAGGAAAATAATGATTATGTTTTCCATTTTGTTTGTATAAAGTAAATAGCTAGTATCTTTGTTGAACTGTTTATTACAACTTGGAGTAGAGGTCATAAATTCAAATGGTTTCTAGAACTCAGGCCATGTACAAAAAAATGGGTGAATCAGACCAGCATAAAAAATAGTGGATACTAAGAGGGATTGTGAGGATTGTGAAAAAAAAATCTCAGCTCTGGCACATGTTATCTGTGAGAACATAAGTGAATTACAAAATCTCCTGAACCTCAGGTGTTTTTTTAAAAATTCAAATGTTAATAATAGTAACCTCTTTGAATAGTTACTGTGAAGATATAAATACAAAATGTATTTAGCAAGCCTAGCATCAGTGAAAGGCATAAATAAGGAGCCCAATACATAGTAGGACCATATGTCTAGGTTTGCCTGGAATGGTCTCTGTCTTTTTATTCTCAAAAGTATCCAGACTTAGAGATATATGTATGTAGAATATTACTCAGTTATAATATTAATAATGCAATGTAAGGGGATATATGTTAGCTATTGCGCATTCCCCACTAATGCTGCCAAACATTTATTTCCCCCCCCTTTTTTGCTATCTGCATGATCTTCGAGACTCTAGGCAACAGTTTATCATTAATGAGGTGTTTGAGTCTCTATGAATAAGTCCATCAAATACATAACTCTGTCTGCAAATTTATCCAATATTTCTGCTTAGACGGGAAACAGAGAATATATTTCGAGTTCTCTCTTTGGAATCCTTGCCTATCCATCCAACTGCTTCAGGCTCTTTCTTTTAGTAATCCCAAGAAATCTAAGTCAAACTAAAATTTATGTTAGCAAATCAGAATCTTATGTTACCTTGAGTTACATATTCATCCTTATGTCTTTCAGACCAGCAGTCTGAGACCAAACAAAGATCCAATGGAAGACATTTCTAAAAGATCTCCTATTCCCTTAGAAATACCCACATTACAAAAAAATGAGGATAAATAAATGGTCAATTGACAGTTTTATTTTAGACAACAAATATAAATCTGTATACAAATAAAATACAAATTAAACTATACACTACCCTATTTAGAAGTCCTTTATGTGTATGCTGACCTAAGTTTGCTATGCATCCAAAATCAACACTTAAAATAGAACTTACATCTAATATTTATGTTTCAAAATTTTATTTTTAATTTTTATTTTAGGTTTGGGGGTACTTGTGAATGTTGATAACCTAAATAAGCATGTGTCATGGGGGGTTGTTGCACACATTATTTCATCACCCAGATATTAAACTCAGTACCCAGTAGTTGTCTTTTCTGCTTCTCTCTCTCCTCCCACCCTCTCACCTCAAGAAGGCCCCAGTATCAGTTGTTTCCTTCTTTGGGTTCATAAGTTCTTATCATTTAGCTCCCACTTATAAGTGAGAACATGTGGTAATTGGTTTTCTGTTTCTGCATTAATATGCTAAGGATAATAGCCTCCAGCTCCATCCATGTTCCTGCAAAAGACATAATCTCATTCTTTTTTTGTGACTATATTATTTCATGATGTATATGTGCCACATTTTCTTTATCCAGTCTGTTATTGATGGGCTTTTAGGTTGAACCCATGTCTTTGTTATTGTAAGCAGTACTGCAATGAACATTTGTGTGAATGCATCTTTATGGTGGAAGGCTTTATATTCCTTTGGGTACATACTCAGTAATGGAACTTCTAGGTTGAATGCTAGTTCTTTTAGCTCTTTGAGGAATCATCATACTGCTTTCCACAAATGTTGAACTCATTTACACTCCCACTAACAGTGTATAAGTATTCCCTTTTTTTTGCAACCTTGCCAGCATCTATTATTTTTTGACTTTTTTTTTCTTTTTTGAGTCTGAGTTTCTCTCTAGTAGCCCAAGCTGGAGCACAATGGCATGGTCTTGGTTCACTGCAACCTTCACCTCCTGGTTTCAAGTGATTCTCCTGCCTCAGCCTCCTGAATAGCTGGGATTACAGGCATGCACCACCATGCCTGGCTAATTTTTTTTTTTTTTTTGTATTTTTAGTAGAGATGGGCTTTCACCATGTTGGCCAGTCTGGCCTCGAACTCCTGACCTCAGGTGATCTGCCCACCTCAGCCTCCCAAAGTGCTGAGATTACAGGCATGAGCCACTGTGCCTGGCCTATTTTTTTACTTTTTAATAATAGCCATTCTGACTGGTATAAGGTGGTATATTATTGTGGTTTTTATTGCATTTCTGTAATGATCAGTGGCATTGAGCTTTTTTTTCACATGCTTTTTGGCCACATGTATGTCTTCTTTTGAGAAGTGTCTGTTTATGTCCTTTGCCCACATTTTTTTTTTTTTTTTTGAGCTGGAGTCTTGCTCTATCACCCAGGCTGGAGTGCAGTGGCGTGATGTCGGTTTACTGAAACCTCTGCCTCCTAGGTTCAAGCAATTGTCCTTCCTTAGCCTCCCAAGTAGCTGGGATTACAGGTGCACACCACCACGTCTGGCTAATTTTTGTATATATATATATATATATATTTTTTTTTTTTTAGTAGAGACAGGGTTTCACCATGTTGGCCAAGCTGGTCTCAAACTTCTGACCTTGTGATCTGCCCGCCTTGGCCTCCCAACTTTGCACACTTTTTAGTGGGATTGTTTTCCTCTTGTAAATTTATGTTCCTTGTAGATTCTGGATATTAGACCTTTCTCAGATGCATAGTTTGCGACTATTTTCTTTTATTTCTGTGGGTTGTCTGTTTACTCTGTTGATAGTTTCTTTTTCTGTTTAAGTTTAATTAGATCCCATTTGTCAATTTTTGCTTTTGTTGCAATTGCTTTTGGTGTTTTTGTCATGAAATCTTTGCCTGTTACTATGTCCAGGATGGTATTGCCTATGTTATTTTCCAGGGTTTTTATAATTTTGGTTTTTTTTTTTTTTTGAGATGGAGTCTCTCTCTGTCACCCAGGCTGGAGTGCAGTGATGTGATATTGGCTCACTGCAACCTCCGCCTCCTCGGATCAAGTGTTTCTCCTGCCTCAGCCTCTCATTCAGCTGGGATTATAGGCACATGCCAGCATGCTGGCTAATTTTTGTATTTTTTTAGTAGAGATAGGGTTTCACCATGTTGGCCAGGCTGGTCTCGAACTCCTGACCTCAGGTGATCTGCCTGCCCCAGCCTCTCAAAGTGCCGGGTATTACAAGAATGAGCCACCATGCCCGGCCATAATTCTGGGTTTTACATTTAAGTTGTTAATCCATCTGGAGTTGATTTTATATATTGTGTAAGGAAGGAGTCCAGCTTCAATTTTCTTCATATGGCTAGTCAGTTATCCCAGCACCGTTTATTGAATAGGCAGTCTTTTGTGCATTGCTATTTTTTGTCAGCTTTATTGAAGAATTTATCCATCTCTTCTGTTTCCTAGTTTGTGTGCATAGAGGTGTTCATAGTAGTTTCTGATGTATCTTTTATTTCTGTGGAGTCAGTAGTAACATTTCCTTCATCACTTCTAATTCTGCTTATTTGGATCTTCCCTCTCTCTTCTTCTTAATTAGTATAGCTAGTGGCATAGTTTCTTAATTTTTTCAAAAAACCAACTCCTAGATTTATTGACCATTTGAATTATTTTTCATGTCTCAATTTTCCTCAGTTCAGCTCTGATTTTTGTATTTCTCATCTTCTGCTAGCTTTGAGGTTGATTTATTCTTGCTTATCTACTTCTTTCAGTTGTGAAGTTAGATTGCTCATTTGAGTTCTCACTTTTTGAAGTTGGCATTTAGTGTTACAAATTTCTCTCTTAACACTGTCTTAGCTATGTCCCAGAGATTCTGGTATGTTGTATCTTTGTTCTCATTATTTTCAAAAAAAATTCTTGGATTTCTGCCTTAATTTCATTATTTACCTAAAAGTCATTCAGGATCATGTTTAAGTTCCATGTAATTGTATGGTTTTGAACGATTTTTATTGTGTTGACTTCTATTTTTATTTCACTGTAGCCTGAGAGTGTGTTTGGTATGATTTCAGTTCTTTTACATTTGTTGAAGATTATTTTATGTCCAATTATGTGGTCAATTTTATAGTATGCATCACATGACTATTAGAAGAATGTTTATTCTATGGTTTTGGGCTGGAGGCTTCTGTAAAGGCCTATCAGTTCCATTTGGTTAAATGCTTAGTTTATGTCCTGAATATCTTTGTTAATTTTCAGCCTTGATGATCTGTCTAATACTGTCAGTGGAATGTTCAAATCTTCCACTATTATTGTGTGAGAGTCTGTCTCTTTGTAGGTCTCTAAGAACTTGCTTAATGAATCTGGGTGCTCCTGTGTTGGGTGTATATGTATTTAGGATAGTTAGGTCTTCTTGTTGAATTGAATCCTTTACCATTATGTAATGCCCTCCTTCTTGTTTTTTTTTTTTTTTTTTTATCTTTTTTGGTTTGAAATCTGTTTTGTCTGAAATTAGAATTGCAACTCCTGTTTTGTTTTTTTTTTTATTTTTTCTATTTGCTTGGTAGATTTTTCTCGATCCCTTTATTTTGAGCCTATGAGTGTCATTACATGTGATATGGGTCTCTTGAAGACCGCATACCATTGGGTCTTGCTTTTTTATCCAGCTTGCCACTCTGTGCCTTTTAAGTGGGGCATTTAGCCTATTTACATTCAAGGTTAGTATTAATATATGTGAATTTGATCCTGTCATTATACTGTTAGTTGGTCATTATGTTGGCTTGTTTGTGTGGTTGCTTTTACAGTGACACTGATCTGTGTGTTTAAGTGTGTTTTTGTATTAGCTGTTAGTGGTTCTTTCTTTCTATATTTAGTGTTACTTACATGATCTCTTGTCTGGCCAGTCTGATGGTAATGAACTCCCTCAATGTTTATCTGAAAAGGACCTTATCTCTCCTTCACTTAGGAAGCTTAGTTTGGCTGGATATGAAATTCTGGTTGAAGATTTTTTTTTTTTAAGAATGTTGATTATAGGCTTACCAATCTCTCCTGACTCATAGGGTTTCAGCTGAGAGGTCTGCTGTTAGCCTGATGGGGATCCTTTGCAGGTGTCCTGCCTTTTGTCTCTAGTTGCCTTTAATATTCTTTCATTTTGACCTTGGAAAATCTGATGATGGTGTGTCTTGGAGATGATCTTGTATCAATCTTGCAGGAGTTTTCTGTATTTCCTGAATTTGACTGTTGACCTCTCTAGCAAGGTTGAGAAAGTTTTCATGGATGATATCCTGTAATCTATTTTCCAAGTTGTTTGCTTTCTCCCCCTCCCTTTCAGGGATGCCAATGAATCATAGATTAGGCCTCTTTACAAAATTCCATACTTTTCAGAGGTTTTGTTCATGCTTTTTTTTCCTGTCCTATTTCAGCAAACCTGTCTTCAAGTTCTGACATGCATTTCTCATCTTGGTTTATTCTGATGTTAATTCTTGTGATTGCATTGCAAAAAATCAGCTCTGTCAGTCCCATTAGGTACTTTTTTATACTGGCTATTTTGTCATTCAGCTCCTGTATCACTTCAATGTAATTCTTATTTTCCTTGGATTGGGTTTTGTTATCCTCCTGAATCTTGATCTTTGTGTCTAGCCATATTCTAAATTCTATTTCTGTCATTCCAGCTAGTTTGGCCTTGTTAAGAACCCTTGTTGTAGAACTGATGTGGTCATTTGGAGGACATATGACACTCTGGTCATTTGAGTTACCAGAGTTCTTGCATTGGTTCTTTCTTACCTCTGCATGTGGGTGTTCCTTTAACTGCAATGTAGATTGGGTACAGTCAATATACTTTTCTGGATGTTTTCACTGGGCCAAAGCTTTGTGTAGTATCTTTATTTGAAGCTGACTTCTTGTCTCTGGCTTCAGAGTGGGGTATGTTAGTGAGGTATTTTTGGTGTTGAAGTTTTGGAGTTTAATCCAGCAGGTGACACTTAGGTTTACTTGTCAATTGAAAGACTCTTGTGTGGCTACCCTGTGTTTTCTCACAGCTGCAGCCGTGTTTCCTCCTGGTGTTCTGAAACTGTGGGTTCCTGTGCCCCCTTAAGTGCTGGCTGTAGTTCACAATTTGGCACTCCTGGGCTGCCCACTGTAGATTTGGGTGATCTCAGTGTTTATGTTTCTTCCCCAGCTTAGAGACAGCAGAGCAAGAGATCTTAGTAGTGGTAGTAGCCAAGTGTTGTTTGTTTGACTCCTGGGGGCTCCACCCCAGAGAGATGCAGGCCAGCAATTGCTCAGTGCTATCAGCCTAAGATGGAGGGTTTGTGCTGTGGGCGCACACCAAGGGTTCCGTGTCTGGTGATAAGCCATCGGGGTGTGTGGGACCTGTAGGAGACAAACTGGCCTCCTCTTCTTGAGTAGACTGTACATCTAACCATCTGGACACTTTTTTGTAGGGCTGCTGCAGTATGCTTAGGGCTCACCAGTGAAGGCTATAAAATGGCAAAGATGGCAGCCTGTCTCTCTGTCTGGGAGCTTTGTCCCAGGGAAGCACAGACCTGTTGCTGGCCCAAAGGCACCTGTAAAATGTGGCTGGAGACCCCAGTTGGGAGGTCTGTTTCCAACTATTAATACAGATTTGGAATAAAGGTTTATGAAATTGATTATTACTAAATGTTGAATAATAAATATTCAGTCTGTTAACTCATTTTCTATTATCATAGATTTTGTTATGTATTGATATGGTCATAATGTTGAAGCAATAAGAATGTGAAACACGTCAACAATTCCCAGAATTTATGCCTATTAATAATTATCTTCAATTTTATGGCTATTTATTTTATAAAATGAAATTTCTGCAAGAATATAACACAATATTTTAAATTGAAAAGCCATTATGATGACTGCATCTATCGTACAGCTTCCATGGTCTTAGTCACAAGCCATGGTATTTCAGTACACATACTATTATATTAGATTGATTTATGACATGTTCCAATATATTTTGACAAGATAAATTTCCAGAAGACTGTGCTCATGTAATCTCTGAAGGATGAGTTAAAGCTACATATTTAAAACAGTGCATAGCATTTTGTTTCTATAACTTTCTATTTGTATAAAATTCAATTCAGTATTATATGAGAAGGAAAGTACTTGAAAAACTCAGTTATACACACAGTAATATATATGTCATATGTATTATAATCTATCAGCATGAAAATCTTTTCAGGCCCATTGTACTACTAATATAATAAAGTTACATGACTACTACTACTACTAAACTACTATGAATGAAGTGAAATCACTTACATAATTTCATCTTCATGGTCTTCATCAAACAGAGCAGTGATTTACCTGACAAATCTGTATACCTCATAGACATTGATTTTCTTTTTCTTAAGATTTGGTTTAATGTTTTCAGTAAACAGCTCTTAAAACATCATTTTTAAAATAGCAGGGCTTTAATTACTGTATGATTATATTTTTTTTAATGGGAGAGAAGATCATGGCCAATAAATAGTTAAGTTCTCTCTCTCCCTCCCTCCACGTCCTGAATATCTCTGGCCAATCTTTTCAGCATTGTCTACTCTGTGAGTAATATTTAATATTGTAGAAATCTTTTGCTCAGAATGATTGCCCTAAAAGTACACAGGCACAGCTAACAAGAAAGAACTCTAGTAACTTAAACACGTTTATAAAATAATGCTTTAATTTTTAAATAATGCTCTGGGTTGTTTGATTTGAGGCAGATAGTTGTGCAGTGGATGGCTCATGCCAAAAACTTGAAAACGTGGGCCCTTTGCAAAGAAGCGCCTACAGGAAATATATAAATCCCCTTCATTGAGCCAGCCCTGCCTCTTTGGAAGTCACTAACCCCAGCTTTCAAGCTAAGGGTTGGAAGACTGTCTGATTGATATATGCTGGGCCAGAGTAACAGAGTGGGTTCCTTCAGGATCAGCTGTGCTGTAAACACAGCATTAGCTTTTAGTTTTCCACAATCCTAACACTTTCTTAAAGTCTCATGCATATATGCCTCAATTGACGCTTCCCTTTGCCTTTGTAGTGTTCCACCCGATATGAAGATTTATAAAAATATCTTTAATAATTTCATTTTTTTCTTTTTATGTACAGTCTTCCATGATCTTCTGAACTGTAAGAAAAAGCTACTATACCACCAGAAAAAAAAAATACCAGCATTGATTACATAGAGCTGGGTCTATTTCTGTTGTGCTTATAAGCTTACTTAAATTTACTAAAGCTAGTAGAAGGAGAAATAATATTCAGTCATTAATTAATTCCACTTGTGAAACACCTTTAAGGTTTATAAGCACAATAACCTTTGGTTGAAATTTTCATTAGAATAAGGACATTATGTGTCACTTGATGTGATTTTTTTTCCTCTTTGTAACTTTTTATTTTTAAATAGCTTCAAACCTAGAAAAGCTGCATTAATTCCTATTTACTCTTGCCTTAGATTCTCCATTTGTAACTATTTTCTATTTGCTTTATTTTTTGTCTTTATTCATACACATACACATTATTTTCAGAACCATCTGAAAATAAATTGAAGACAAGATGCTTCTTTAGCTATAAATACTTAAGCATTTATTTCCTAAAAACAGAGAATTGTCTCACATCAGTGTAAATTATCATGATTACGATATTTTTCAAATTTTCAATAATATACTTTAGAAAACAAATTAATCCTGATCCAATATTAGTTGCACTGCATTTAATTATAATGTCCTTTTGCTCTCCTTTAATCTGGAATAGTTCATCGGTCTTTTTTGCAGGGGAGGTGGAAAGGTGGAAAGTTTTCATAACCTTGATGTTTTTAAAAATTACAGGCTGCTTATTTTGTAGACTTTTTTTGCATTTGTATTTATTTGCTGTTTATGATTAGATTCAAGTTATGCAGTTTTAGCAGGAATACTGGATAAATTACATGTTCTTTTCAGTGTATGGTATTATTAGGCAAATAGAGTTGGTTTGCCCCAATACTGGTGATGTTAAATTCAGTCACTTAATTAAAGCATTGTCTGGCGTGTTTTCTCACTGTAAAAATTATATGTCATTTTTAAGACTTTATTTTTGGCCAGTAGGCAAAGAAACTGCAACCACAGGCTTCCAACACTAAGATGCTCAACCGAAGAAGCCACGCTCTTAAGAGAGCAGGAAAAAACTGGTTTCGTTTTGGTGAGTTTCATTTTCTAGGCATTTATTTAATCTTCTAATTAAAATTTTCATTAGACTGTAGATTTATAACTATAAGAAACACCCTATAAGTAAATAGCATTTGCAAATATTTGTCTGTACAACCTCCAATGAGCATTGTTATTGCGGCCTTATATTCCAATGAGACATACATATAACATCTGATTAAAAGTCTTTCTTTAGGTTTGAAAGATTTTCAGAAGCAGAATCTGCATAATCTGACTCATTTGAAAACAAATAGATTTTAAAAACAGACATATTGAGAATGTAGTGGACAGGGGACTCTGGGAAAAGTTTGACTTTGTTCAAGCGCTCATTGTCTTATGCCTTCTAGACTGATCTTCTATCCAGACCCTATGACTTCAACACGATCTTCAAATAGTTTCAAATTATTCTTTTATAACACACAAGTCTGTCAAAATTACTGCTCCATTTAGCATTCCCTTTTTTTTTGTACTGAACACAGAAGAAAACATTTGTTTATCATAGCATTCTAAAAAAAACTGTATACTATGCTACCCTTCACACACGTTCTTTTACAGACTTATCTTGAACAAACCACCATCTCCACTCAATGCCCAGTACTCTTCTGGTACACTATAGTTTTTACTATTCCTGGAACATTTTATGCATACAGTTTTATACTTTTGTCATTTTATCAAAGTACCTCATCCAAAAGAAATATCCTTGTCTACACTTCTTAATACTTTACTCATCCTTAAAGATCCAACTTAATGGATACCTCTTTGATGAGCTTTTTTATTATCCTCACAATTGGAATGAATCTATACTTTGATTTCAGTGTTTTATACATTTTTAAATAGATGTCTTCATCTTTTCCTAATGTTATAAAGCAGTTACATACACATTCTCAGTGACTAGTGTATATGCTTCCCAAGAGCACAAAATATATCTTAGTTGTTTTCATATCTTTACTGACTAATCTTTTGACACATAGCAGATGCTTCAAATACCTTGATAACCCATAAAACTGACTGTATAGAGTCAAAAGATGTCACATGATAGAAAATAAACATTTATACAATATTGGGCTGAGATTCTCCAGAATCCAGTTTTATTTATTCACATCTATTCATTCATAGCTTATCAAGTATGAACTCTTATACTGTCTTGTAGTAATTGCACATCAACCTGTTTCAAATGGACTGCTTCACAAAGCAAGTTGTTGTCCTGTTTGTGTCTTGTACATGTCCTTAGTTGTATTGGAGGTGCATGCACCTGTCTAGTAGAGCCTGAAAGCTCACCACCAGCAGATTCACATTAAAATTCTGACCATTATAAAGGTTTCATACTTTCTAAAGTACCCTAGACTTGGCTACCACTACCTGTTGCTCCAGAGTACAAGATATCTACATTGATGCCCACATTTTAGCCATTTTTATTCTCATTTCCAAGTCTTGCATGATTCCCAGGGGAAATGTGTAATTACTTTGTTTTATAATTTTATGTTTATGTTTATGAAAAAGAGCATCATGCATCAGTAGTGAAATAACTATATTGTGTCACAGGAGGAAAGCTAAAACACTTTCAATGGTTTCCTTTTTGGTGTTCTTTTAAGGTTGGTGTAAAAGTAATTGCAGTTTTAGATCATGAATTTTAAATCATTACAACTAGGCTCAAACACATATTTATTAATCCAAATAGGAACCATTACAATTAGTCCATTTTTGCCAACAAGAAATAAGTTTGCTTACTACTATAGCATAAAAATCCATGCTTCAGAATTTGATGAATGCCTGGAAAGCATTTTCTGCATCCTGCTGTTTGTGGAAGCATTTTCTAGGCAAAACATTGTGGAGATACTGGAAGAAGTTGTATTCAGTTGGTAAGAGGTCAGGTGAATATGGCAGATGAGGCAAAACTTTGTAGCCCAATTTGTTCAATTTTCAAAGCATTGGTCAGGCAACGTGCAATCAGGCATTGCCATGAAGAATTGGGCCGGTTCTGTTGACCAATGCCAGCTGCAGGCATTGCTATTTTCCATGCATCTCATTGATTTGTTGAACATACTTCTCAGATATAATGGTTTCAGTGGGATTCAGAAAGCTGTAGTGGATAAGATCGGCAGCAGACCATGAAACAGTGACCACGACTTTTTTTTTTTTTTTTTTTTTTTGGTGCAAATTTGGCTTTGGGAAGGGATTGGAAGCTTCTTCTCAATCTAACCACTGAGCTGGTCGTTGATGGTTGTCGTACAAAATCCACTTTTCTTCCTACATCACAATCAGTTTGAGAAATGGTTCATTGTTGCATAAAATAAGAGAAGACAACACTTCAAAATTTTTTTTTTATTTTTGCTCAGCTCATGTGGCACCCACTTATCGAACTTTTTCCAATATGCTTCAAATGCTGAACAATCATAGAATGGTAGATGATAGGTTTTTTGGCAAGGTCTTGTGTAGTTGCAAGAGGATAAACTTAGATGATTGCTCTCAGTTGGTCATTGTCAACTTCCGATGGCCAGACACTACGCTCCTAAACTTCAAGGCTCTCATCTTTATTTTATTTTATTTTTGAGACAGAGTCTCCCTCTATCACTCATGCTGGAGTGCAGAGGCGTGACCTCGCCTCACTGCAACCTCCGCCTCCTGGGTTCAAGCGATTCCCCTGCCTCAGCCTCCCGAGTAGCTGGGATTACAGTTGTGTGCCACCACACCCGGCTAACTTTTTTGTATTTTTAGTAGAGATGGGGTTTCACCATGTTGGCCAGCCTGGTCTTGAACTCCTGACCTCATGTGATCCGTCCACCTCAGCCTCCCAAAGTGCTGGGATTACAGTCGTGAGCCACCCCGCCCAGCCTGCAAAACATCTTGAACCACCAGTGCACTGTATGCTCCTTAGCACTTATATTGTGAGTTGTCTCTGCTACTTTATGACCCATTTTGAACTCAAATAAGAAAATTGCTCAAATTTGCTTTTTTATTTTATTTTTTGAGACAGTCTCGCTCTGTCACCCAGGCTGGAGTGCAGTGGCCAGTTCTAGGCTCACTCCAACTTCCATCTCCCGGGCTCAAGAAATTCTCCTGCCTCAGCCTCCCGAGTAGCTGGGATTACAGGCATGTCCCACCACAACCAGCTAATTTTTGTATTTTTAGTAGAGATGGGGTATCACCATGTTGGCCAGGCTGGTCCTGAACTCCTGACCTCAAATGACTCAAGTGATCCACCCATCTCAGCCTCCCAAAGTGCTGGGATTATAGGTGTGAGCCACATGCCCAGCCTTTTTTTTTTGTTGTTGAGACAGAGTTTTGCTCTTGTTGCTCTGGAGCGCAAATGCGCGATCTCAGCTCACTGCAACCTCCTCCTCCTGGGTTCAGTGATTTTCGTGCCTCAGCCTCCTGAGTAGCTGGGATTATAGGCACATGCCACCATGCCTGGCTAATTTTTGTATTTTTAGTGGAGACGGGGTTTCGCCATGTTGGCCAGGCTGGTCTCGAACTCCTGACCTCAGATAAGCTGCACACCTCGGCCTTCCAAAGTGCTGGGATTATAGGTGTGAGCCACAGCATACAGCCTTGAATTTGCTTTTTGTCTAACATCATTTTCATAGTCTAAAATAAATAGCAAGTAATAAGTCATTAGCAGAAAAATAAAATGAGAAATGCGCATTAAAATGGTGTATAATATAACCAAATTTATTTAAGATTGTATTCCAATATCAAATGGCAAAATTCAACAATGCAAATATCGCAATTACTTTTGCATCAATCTCCAAACAATCTTATCTTTCCATTTAGTGGGTTAGGAGGTTTTAAGGCCAAAGTTGCCTCCAAAAACAATAACAAACCTAGACTAAAAAAAATTATTGGATCTCTAACTCTGCAGCTTCCTTAAAGCTAAAATAAGAGCACCAGTGTCTAACATACGCATATACCCAATATCAACTAAGAACTTTCATGAAGAAGAAAGCAGGCAGGATAATCTACCCAAAAACGTCTTCAACTTCCTCATTAAAAAAAATGTTAACCCAAAAATGGCCCGGAGTAGGATGTGTATATTAAGATATTTTATATTTGCTTTTTAGATTTGTTTACAAGACTACCAACAAGCAAATGTGGCATTTATGTTCAAAAGACTATTTTGGAGCTTCTCTAATAAGTGAATTTTGCTGAACATCTGAGGCAATTCACAGCCAGTTAAATGTACTGCAAAGTCAGTAATGATTCACAATAATTATATATATATTTTTTCTTTTTTGAGGCAAGGTTTTGTTCTGTTGCCCAGACTGCAGTGCAGTGGCATGATCATGGCGCACTGCAGCCTCAACCTTCTGGGCTCAAGCAATTCTCCCGTCACAGCATTCAGAGTAGCTTAGACTACAGGCATGTGCCACAAATCCCAGCTGGTTTTATTTTTTATTATTATTTTTAGTAGAGACAATGTCTTGCTATGTTGTTTAGGCTGGTCTGCAAGTCTCTTAGCCTCAAGCAATCCTCCCACCTTGGCCTCCCAAAGTGCTGGGATTATAGTCATGAGCCACCGTGCCTGGCCATATTTGGTTTTTATATATGCATATGTGCTTTACAATGATGTAGAAGTGCTATGTAAGTATTGCTTTATATTAACCCATCTTTCAAGTTTGTATGGAAATCTGGGCAAAAATTGCAGACTTACACTTCTCCTAGAAGATAATTTTTGAATACATCAGTGAATTTTACTGGATTTAAGAAAGTTCCCCATGGCTGAATAGCTAGCTCTAAAATCATCACTGAATTAATAGCAAAATGATCTATACTATATTTTTCATTGCCCCCAGTTTCTCAGGGATTCAGGGAATAGAGAATATTATGAAGGTTTTGCAAAAAAAAAAAAAATCCTAATGAGATGTATTAGCTTTATTGAAGCATAGCTACTCCTTAAAGATTTGCTCTGAGAACAGCTGTAAGCCCATTCTATGCTTCATTAAAAAGAGCTCTTAATTAAGAATCAATGCCCAGAAATAGTTTGGGAAGGAGAGAGTGCTTCATACTTGTCAACGCTGTGCTCACTTACCAATGTATTTCCTCTCTCTTCATATTACTAAAATTACAAGAGAAATGAAAAACACACTTTAAAAAAAGTTATTCTTAGGAGATATGATCTTCATTTAGAATACACTTGATATGAAATCCAAACTAAACATTTTGTAAACATAGATAAAAATTAATGAGATACATACCATGGAAGTTAAGAGCTATGTCTTACTCATCTTTGCATGGTCCACAGGTTAATACAGTGACATGCATGGAGCAGGTAGTTAATAAACATTCATATACAGGAATGAAAAGAAGGAGTAGGGGAGGGAGAATTTAATAATAGTATATGCCACTTCTTTTATTAATTTTAATTTTTATTTTACGTTCCAGGGTACATGTTCAGGATGTTCAGGTTTGTTACATAGGATGTTCAGTATGTACAGGTTTGCGTGTCATGGTTGTTTGCTGCACCTATCAACCCATCATCTAGGTATTAAGCCCAGCATGCATTAGCTATTTTTCCAAATGTTCTCCATCTCCACATTCCACCCCCCAACAAGCCCAAGTGTGTGTTATTCCCTCCTTGTGTCCATGTGTTCTTATTGTTAAGCTTCCACTTATAAGTGACAACATTGGTTTTCCTTTCCTGCGATTGTTTACTAAGGATAATGGCATCCAGCTCCATCCATATCCCTGTAAAGAACATGGTCTTTTCCCTTTTTATGGATGCATAGTGTTCCACATTTTCCTTATCCAGTGTATCATTGATGGGCATTTGGATTGATTCCATGTCTTTGCTATTGTGAATAGTGTTGCAGTGAACATATGTGTGCATGTATCTTTGAATAGAATCATTTATATTCCTTTGGGTATATACCTAGTAATGGGATTGCTGGGTCAAATGTATACCATTTCTTAATAGATTATTCTGTGCCAGAAACTATGATACTTATTTAACTTTCATTATTTTATATGTTCCTCACAATATTCTGTGCCAGAAACTATGATACTTATTTAACTTTCATTATTTTATATGTTCCTCACAACAATCCTGAGAAAGATGAAAGAAGACAGGAATATAAAATAAAGTGTTTGTTCATGAGATTAAGTAATATGTATACTAGCTGAGAACTGCATCAGATATTAAATAATTATCAATGTGTGTCAATAAAGATAAGAAAACCAAAATCAGAAGGCAGAAGGAAGAAAAATCATTTGTGTCCTATTCTTTTCAATCCAGATTGTGCATTATGTATGATTTAAAATACTCTCACAATTTTTGTGTATTTTATTAATGAGTTAATATTTGTGAATTGAAGGTCAAATTTACAGCAATAACTACAAACCAAATGTATTGCATTTAATAAAATCACTTGTCTTTCCTCAGATTCTGTAGTTTCAGAAGAAGCCATTATTGAGCATAATATTTTCCACGGAAGAAGTCCTCCTAAAAGATAACATCGTTTTAATGAAATAGAACTTTAGCAGCACCAAACCAGGTTAGCATAATGCACCCCCATAAACACACACACACATCCTCAACATACACATGTCCAACCTACTGACATAAAGCAACAATCACAGCTGAAGCCAATTATGTTTTCTTTCTACAGAAATTTGGGTGGCATATTTTAAAGTCATTCAAATCTAATAGCTGCAATTTAACTTTCATACAATACATACTGGCACAAATTAAAATGAACTAATGTTGAGATTCAGAGAACAAGCACTGTTTTCTATAGAACATCATTCTTTCCTTCTTCAAAGAGTTAAATAACATCCTAGGGTTTTGGCCATCATATATGAATGCAAGGCCCACCTATTTAAATCAGGATTTACTTGATTAATATGTTTGAATCACCTAGTTAGTTCATCAGAATGCAGCTAGAATACTAACCTTGACGTCGTACGACCTGATGAAAACTTAGTTTTACGGTATATGCAAATGAACTTCTTTAATTTCATTTTTAAGTTTTATGAACACTTCCATTTGTATCTCCTGATCGAGTTAAAAGTTAACATAAATCTTCTGTTTAATATCGTATACACCCTAGCAATACAATAGCATTAGGACATCTCAGGTGTCTAAGTGAAACTTTTAAGTTAGAAAGTGGAAGATATACTGAACTTATTAGCTTTATCATATATAGCTATTAAATAATTAGACATTTTTCACTTACATATTTCAAGTGAATCCAAATATTTTTTCAGACCAATCATTTGCATTCTTTAAATTTAACATTGTGTATAAATATATTTAATAAAAATACAATTTAAGTTGATAATTTAGCCTTTTAAAATATTTTTGAGGAATCAAGGATCCATTTATTTACCTTATTATTGTAAAACCCAATTCTTCAAATAACTAAGTAAAAATCTAGAATTGATACAATTTAAATAATCTTGAATTTGTTAGTATGACTATTTAACAGTGAGAACAGAAAGTATTGTATTTTTCAAACATACAATATAACTAAACTTTCTCCCCCTCTCCACAACTTGCACAGTTTGTATAGTATTTTCAAATATTTGACCAAGAAGGTATCTGTTCACTTGAATGTATTATGCCTATAGAGAGTTGATAAAGCAGCATATAAACCTGACAATATTAACAATCAGTCAGGAGAATTTGTCTCAGTAAAATTAAGTAACACGTATTTGACCACTCGGAGACGAAAATTAAATTTTGAATCTGTCCTTCACTAAAATGCACTCAGTTTTTAACTTTATAAAATATAGGGTTGGTGGAAAAGTAATGGAGTAATAGAACTAAAAACTTGATGCTACAATTAAAATATATTTAAAATTCTTATTCACTGGATATTAGAAATAATTAAAATAAGTCAATATATTTGTATTTTATGTATTTCATGTTTCCAAAACAGATCTGAAGCAGATTAAACTACAATATTTAAATAAAATAAAATAATATATTGTGCTTATTTGTCAATTTTTTATTTTAGTTCAGTAAGAATTAATTTTACTAATTATTTTGCCATATGTCATTTATCATGTTTTATGTTATTTATAAAAATTTTAATGTATTGCTCATTTTATTTGTTTTTTAGCACTAAGTGATAAGTAGCTACTTTAAAGTCAAATTTTATTTTAATATTTGTTTATATAGGATTTGCTAAAAGATAAAAATCTTCATTTATTCTTTTTTTATTATTTCAATAGTTTTGGGGTAACGGGTGTTGTTTGGTTACATGGATAAGTTATTTAGTGGTGATTTCTGAGATTTTGGTGCACTCATTACCCAGGCAGTGTACACTGTACTCAGTGTGTAGACTTTTATCCCTCACCCTCTCTCATCATTCCCCATGAGCCCATTGTGTCATTTGTATATGCCTTTGCATCCTCATAGTTTAGCTTCTACTGATAAGTGAGAACATGTAATGTTTGGTTTTCCATTCCTGAGTTATTTCACTTAGAATAATGGTCTCTAACTCCATCCAGTTTCCTGTGAATGTATTTATTTCATTATTTTTTATGGCTGAGTAGTATTCCATACAGTGTGTGTGTGTGTGTGTGTGTATGTATGTATGTGTGTGTGTATATATATACATATATACATATATACATATATATACATATATACATATACATACATATATACATATATATACATATATACATATATACATATATACATATATACATACATACATATATACATACATATATACATATATATATACACACACATATATATATATATCTCACTTTTTTTATCAACTCATTGGTTGATGGACATTGAGGGTGGTTCCATATTTTTGCAATTGCAAATTGTGCTGCTATAAACAGGCATGTGCAAGTATCCTTTTCATATAATGACTTTTTTCCTCTACGTAGATACCCAGTAGTGGGATTGCTGGATCAAATGTTAGTTCTTTTTTAGTTCTTTAAGGAATCATCATACTGTTTTCCACAGTGGTTGTATTAGTTTACATTTCCACCAGCAATGTAAAAGTGTTCTCTTTTCACCACATCCACGCCAACATCTATTATATTTTTGTTTTTTAAATTATGGCCATTCTTGCAGGAGTAAGGTGGTATCGCATTGTGATTTTGATTTGTCTATCCTTAATAATTAGTGATGTTGAGAATTTTTTATATGTTTGTTGGCCACTTGTATATCTTCTTTTGGGAATTGTCTATTCATGCCCTTAGGCTACTTTTTGATGAGATTATTTGTTTTGTTCTTGTTGATTTGTTTGAGTTCCTTGTACATTCTGGATATTGGTCCTTTGCTGGATGCATAGTTTGCAAATATTTTCTCCCACTCTGTGGGTTGTCATTTTACTCTGCTCGTTATTTCTTTTGCTGTGCAGAAGTTTTTAGTTTAATTAAGTTCCACTTATGTATTTGTTACTTTTGCTTTTGGGTTCTAGGTCATGAACTATGCCTAAGCCAATGTCTAGAAGAGTTTTTCCAGTTTTATCTTGTAAAATTTTTATGGTTTCAGGTCTTACATTTCAGTCTTTGATCCATCTTGAGTTGGATTTTGTATAAAGTGAGAAATAAGGATTCAGTTTCTTTCTTTCACCTACATGTGGCTTGCCAAATATCCCGGCACCATTTGTTGAATAGGGTGTCCTTTGCCTAATTTATGATTTTGTTTGCTTTGTCAAAGTTCAGTTGGCTACAAGTATATTGTTTTCTTTCTGTGTTCTCTATTCTATTCCATTAGTCTATATGCTGGTTTTTATATCAGTACCATGCTGTTTTGGCAATTATAGCCTTGTAGTATAGTTTGAAGTTGGGTAATGTGATACCTCCAGATTTGTTATTTTTGCTTAGTATTGTTTTGACTATGTGGGCTCTTTTTTTTGGTTCCATATGAATTTTAGGATGGTTTTTTCTAGTCCTGTGAAGAATGATGATGGTACTTTACTGAGAATTACATTGAATTTATAGATTTCTTTTGGCAGTATGTTCATTTGCAGAATATTGATTCTACCCATCCACGAGCATGAAATGTGTTTCTATTTGTTTGTGTTGTCTATGATTTCTTTCAGCTGTGTTTTGTAGTTTTCCTTGTAGAGTCTTTTGCCTCCTTGATTAGGTATATTCCTAATTATTTTATTTTTCTTTGCAGCTGTTATAAAAGAGGTTGAATTCTTGATTTGATTATCAGGTTATTCACCGTTAGTGTATGGCAGTGCCACTAATTTTCGTATATGGATTTTGTATCCTGAAACTTTACTCAATTTATTTATCAGATCTAGGAGCTTTTTGGAGGAGTCATTAAGGTTTTCTAGGTATACAACCCTATCATTTGTTAACAGTGACTTTTTGACTTCCTCTTTACCAATTTGGATGGCCTTTATTTCTTTCACTTATCTGATTTCTCTGGCTAGGACTTCCAGTACTATGTTAAATAGAAGTGGTGAAAGTGGGTATCTTTGTCTTGTTCCAGTTCTCAGGGGGAATGCTTTCAACTTTTCCCCCATTCAGTATATCATTGGCTGTGGGTTTGTCATAGTTGGCTTTTATTACCTTAAGGTATGTTACCTGTATGCCAATTTTGCTGAGGGTTTTAAACATAAAGGGATGCTGGATTTTGTCAAATGCTTACACTGCGTCTATTGAGATGATTATATATTTTTTGTTTTTAATTCTGTTTATGTGGTGTATAACATTTTTTACTTATACATGTTAAACCAGTCCTGCATTTCTGGTATGAAACTCATTTAATCATGGTGTATTATCTTTTTGATATGCAGTTAGATTTGGTTAGCTAGTATTTTGTTGAGAACTTTTGCATCTATGTTCATCAGGGATATTGGTCTGAAGTTTTCTTTTTTGTTATGTCCTTTCCTGGTTTTGGAATTAGGGTAACACTGGCTTTGTAAAACGATTTAGGGAGGATTCTCTATCTTTTGGAATAATTTCAGTAGGATTTGCACCAATTCTTCTTTGAATGTCAGAATTCAGCTGTGAATCAATGTGGTCTTAAACTTCTTTTATTGACAATTTTTTTTTTAATTACGGTTTCAATCATGCTGCTGGTTATTGGTCTGTTCAGAGTTTCTATTTCTTCCTAGTTTAATCGAGAAGGGTTGTATATTTCCAAGAAAGTATGCATCTCATCTAGGTTTGCTAGTTTGTGCACATAAAGGTGTTTTTCGTGGCCTTGAATGATCTTTTGTATTTCTGTGTTATCAGTTATAATATCTCTCATTTTGTTTCTAATTTAGCTTACTCAGATATTCTTTGGTTCTTTCTTAATCTCTCCAATAGAATATCACTTCTCTTTAAAATATTTTCAAAGAATCAGCTTTTTGTTTCATTTATGTTTTATATTTTTTGTTTCAATTTTATTTAGTTCTGCTCTCATCTTTGTTATTTCTTTTTTTCTGTTCAATGTGGGTTTGAGTTGTTCTTGTTTCTCCAGTTCCTTGAGGTTTGAAATTAGATTGTCCATTTGTGCTCTTTCAGCCTTTTTGAAGTAGGCGTTTAATGCTATGAACTTTACTCTTAGTACTACTTTTGCTGTGTCCCAGAAGTTTTGATAGGTTGTGTCACTATTATCATTCAGTTAAAATAATTTCTTAATTTCTGTCTTGATTTCATTGTTGACCCGAAGATTATTCAGGAGCAGTTTGCTTAATTTCCATGTATTTTTTTGAGGGTTCCTTTTGGAGTTAATTTCCAATTTTATTCCACTATGGTTTAAGATAGTACTTGATATAATTTTTATTTTCTTAAATTTATTGAGACTTGTTTTGTTGCCTATCCTATGGTCTATCTTGGAGAATGTTCTATGTGCTCATAAAAATAATGTCCCAATTGCTGATAAAAAAATGTATATTCTGCAGTTGTTGGGTAGAGTGTTCTATAAATACCTGTAAAGTCCATTTGTTGTAGCGCATAGTTTAAGTTCATTGTTTCTATGTTGGCTGTCGTGATGATCTTTGTAGTGCTGTCAGTGAAGTATTGAAGTCTCCCACAGTTATTATGTTGCCATCAATCTCATTTCCTAAGTCTAGTAGTAATTGTTTTATAAATTTGGGATCTGCAAATATATATATATATGTAGGAATGTGGTATTTTCCTGATGGACTAATCTTTTTATCATTATATAATGTCCCTATTTGTCTTTTTTTTTTTTTTTTTTTTTTTGAGACAGAGTCTCACTGTGTCACCCAGGCTGGAGTGCAATGGCATGATCTCGGCTCACTGCAACTCCGCCTCCCGGGTTCACACCATTCTCCTGCCTCAGCCTCCTGAGTAGCTGGGACTACAGGCACCCGCCACCACGCCCGGCTAATTTTTTGTACTTTTTTTAGTAGAGACAGGGTTTCACCGTGTTAGCCAGGATGGTCTGGATCTCCTGACCTTGTGATCCGCCCGCCTCGGCCTCCCAAAGTGTTGGGATTACAGGCGTGAGCCACCGTGCCCTGCGTCTTTGTCTTTTTTAACTGTTGTTGCTTTAAATTCTGTTTTGCTTGATATGAGAATGCCTACTTCTGCTCGCTTTTGTTTTCCATTTGTATAGAAGGTCTTTTTCCTCCTCTTCACCTTACATTTATGTGAACAGAATTTAATGTGTTAAGTGAGTCTCTTGAAGACTGAAGATACTTGGTTGGTTGGTGAATTTTTATCCATTCCGTCATTCTGTAAATTTTATGTGAGATCATTTAGGTTATTAATATTCAACATTAATATTGAGATGTGGCCGGGCACGGTGGCTCATGCCTGTAATCCCAGCACTTTGGGAGGCCAAGGCGGGAGGATCATGAGGTCAGGAGATCAAGACCATCCTGGCTAACACGGTGAAACCCCGTCTCTACTAAAAATACAAAAAAATTAGCCAGGCCTGGTGGCGGGTGCGTGTAGTCCCAGCCACACGGGAGTCTGAGGCAGGAGAATGGCGTGAACCCAGGAGGCGGAGCTTGCAGTGAGCCGAGATAGTGCCACGGTACTCCAGCCTGGGCAACAGAGCGAGACTCCGCCTCAAAAAAAAAATATTGAGATGTGATGTACCGTTCTATATATTATGCTAGTTGTTGCCTGAATAACTTTTATTGTGTTATTGTTTTATAGGCCCTGTGAGATTTATGGTTTAAGGAGGTTCTATTTTTGTGTATTCATTTTGTTTCAAGATTTAGAATCCCTTTTCGCATTTCTAGTAGTGCTAATTAAACAGGTAGATGGTCCATGGTATCATTGTCTGAGGTGTTATCTGAGCTTATTGTCTCACTGCCAAGAAACTTAAGGAGTATGGACACAAAGGGTGAGGTTCAGCAAAAGTTTAATAAGCAAAAGTAGAAAGCTCTCTGTAGTGGTGAGGGTAGCACACGTGGGTTGCCATTTTTACAGTTGACTTCAAAAGCTTTTATATGAAACTCCTTTCATCTCTGTAGCACTTTGAGTAAATTCTCTTATCTGTAAAGCTGTCTGTGTAACTCTCCTTATCTTTGTAGTTGCGGGCACACAAAGCACAGCTTCCCTTGTTTGTATAACAGTGGGTTTGTTTTAGGTAAGCCTCTCCATCTCTGTGCAAACTCCCACAGAGCCCATCATGTACATGCCTGACATGGAGAAGAAACTTTTCCTGGGAGCTCTCTAATCACACAAAGAACAAAAGGCTTCTATGCTGGGTGCCCACTTATCTGTGCAGCTGTAGTCTAAGTTTTCTCCAGGCTGTTCTATTTTTTGCTTGTAGTTGTGATTTTTAAGGCAGGCTGCTTCTCCAAGGGCTGGCCTTAACTGTCTGCCTAACTGATTTTTCCTTTCCATTCTCCCTCACTGGCATGGTAGTGGCAAATTCTCTCAGCATGTGTTTTTCTGAAAAATACATTATCTCTCCTTTATTTATGAGGCTTAGTTTTGCTGGATACAAAATTCTTGGCTGATAATTATTTTGTTTAAGGTGGCTAAGGATAGAACCCTAATCCCTTCTGGTGTTTAGGATTTCTGCTAAAAAATCTGCCGTTAATCGGAAAGGCTTTTCTTTATACATCACCTGATGCTTTTGCATCACATCTCTTAAGATTCTTTTCCTTGTCTTCACTTTAGATAACCTGATGACTATGTGCCTAGGTGATGATTTTTTTGCAATGAATTTCCCGGGTGTTCTTTGAGCTTCTTGTATTTGGATATCTAGATCTCTTGCAAGATCAGGGAGTTTTTTCTGGATTATTTTCTCAAATAAAACTTCCAAATGTTTAGATTTCTCTTCTTCCTCAACAACACCAATTATTCTTATATTCAGTCTTTTAACATAATACCAAATTTCTTCGAGGCTGTGTTCATTTTTTTAAATTCTTTTATCTTTGTCATTGTCAGATTGTGTTAATTCAGCCCTTGTCTTTTAGTGCTGAAGCTCTTTATTATACTTATTTGATTCTATTGTTGAAACTTTCCAGTGTATTTTGCATATTTCTAGGTTTGTCTTTCATTTCTGGAAGTTGATTGTCTTTATGATATTTATTTCTCTGGAGACTTTTTAAATTAATATCTTGTATTTTTTAAAATTTTATTTAAGTTGGTTTGTACCTTTCTTTGGTACCTCCTTGAGTAGTCCTAATAATCAACATTCTGAGTTTTTTATCTGGCGATTCAGAGATTTCTTCTTTTGTTTGGATCCATTGCTGATAGCTATTTTGATCTTTTGGGGATGTTATAGAACCCAGTTTTGTCATATTACCAGAATTATTTTTCTTTTTTTCTTTTTTCTTCTCATTTGGGTTGATTGTTTCAGTGGAAATATCTGGAACTCAAGAGCTGCTGTTCAGATTCTTTGGTTCCATGGGGTGATCCCTTGATGTGGTGCTCTCCCCCTTCCCCTAGAAGTGGGGAAACTGAGAGCCAGACTGTGGTGATTGTTATTGCCCTTCTGGGTCTACCTACTCAGAGGGACTACTGGCCTCTGGGCTGGTGTTGGGGAATGTCTGCAAAGAGTCCTGTGATATGATTTGTCTACAGGTCTCCCAGCCATGGATAATAGCACCTGCTCTGATGGAGGTGGCAGGGCAGTGAAGAGGATTCTGTAGGAGTCCTTGATTGAAGTTTTGTTTAGTGCATTGGTTTTTTTGAATGCTGGTTATGCTAGCAGTGAATTTGTCAGGTGGACAGATAAAGGACCTCTGATTAGCCATGGTGTTGCAGGTGGTGGAATTATCTGTTATTTTCTCCTTTGGAACAGGATTGTTCTGTTATGAGTTTCTGTAATGGCTTGAGTTGGTTGGCCTCCAGCCAGGAGGTGGCACTTTTAAGAGAGCACCAGCTGCGGTAGTAGAAGATAGAGGTAAGCATGCCCTATTTTGAACAGTAAGTACTCAGGTGATAGGTGGGGCCCTACAGCTCCCAAGAGCTTATATCTTTTGTCTTTGCTTAACAGGGCCAGTAGAAAAAATCCATTAGGTGGGGCCAGGGTTAGGCAGGTCGGAGCTCAGACTCTCCTTTGGTGGGGCTTGAGGCAGCCACTGTGGGTGTTGGGAGGGTGGTTCTCAGGCCAATAGAGTTATGTACCCAGGGGGATTTTTTTGAAAAATCAGTAAAAGTGTTCAAAATACTTGTTAGTAACTTCAGGAAAAGCAGAATGAAAATTTAATCAACCAATATAAGAAATGAAGGGTGGCATATCACTACAGACTTTCAGACATTGAAAAGGACTTATTATGAATAAGTTTATGCAGATAATTTTGACAACCTACATTAAATGGAAGAAATAATTGAGAGACACAAATTATCAAGTCTGCCTCCACTTTTAAGCCTTACATCAATTAATAAAATCAAATTTTATTAAAAATATTTTCAATATAAATTTGTGTTCTGATGGTTTCACTGGTGAAGTTTATCAAATATTTAAGGAAGACATAATATCGATCATAGTTAAACCCTTTCAGAACATAGAAAATCAAGAAACATTTCTCACCTCATTTTATGAAGGCAGCATTACCTTGTTTCTAAAACCAGTTGAAAACATCATAAGAAAACTACAGACCAATATCCCTTGTGAACATGGATACAAAAAATTAAATAGTATCAAATCAAATCCAGTAATAATTTTAAAAATAGCACTACATCACGGTCATGTGGGATTTATCTTGAGAATGTAAGGTTGGTTTCACATTTGAAAAACACTCAAGGAGATACATCACATTGATAGAATTAAGGAAAATATCGTATTACCATTTCAGAAGATGCACAAAAAGTATTTGACAAAATTCATCTCTTTTTTATGATAAAAATTTCTCAGCCAACTACAAATAGATGGGGACTTTCCCAAATTGATTAAGTATTTGTATGAAAAATCTACAAGTAGCATGATACTCAGTGATTAAAGTGTCAATATTTTCTACCTAAGTTCAATAAAATATCAAGGATATCCTCTCTGAATACCTTTAACATTGTACTGGATATCCTAACCAGTGCAAGAGAAAGAAATAAAGAATGCCCTGATTGGATTGGGAGGTAGAAACACTTCCATTATTTGAAAAAATTTGATTGTATGGGAATTCACAGATATCTACTAGAACCAATACATTGATTTAACAAGTTGGTATTCTAAAAGGCCAATATAAAAATCAACTCCACATTTAAATATTAATAAACAATTAGAAACCATAATTTAAAACTCCTTTCAAAAAAGCATCAAACATGATACTGATGAGGCTACAGAGAAAAGGGAATGCTTATACACTGCTGATGGGAATGCAAAGTAGTTCAACCACTGTGGAAAGCAGTTTGGTGATTTCTCAAAGAACTTAAAATAGAACTATGGTTTGACACAGCCATCCTACTACAGGGCATACATTCAAAGAAAATAACTCATCCTATCGAAAAGACACATGCACTCACATGTTCATTGCAGCACTATTCACAATAGCAAGGATATGAAATCAACCTAGATGCCAATCAGTGCTGGATTGAATAAAGAAAATGTGCTTCATATACACCATGGAATACTACATGGCCATAAAAAATAATGAAATCATGGCCTTTGCAGTAACATGGATGGAGCTGGAGGCCATTATCCTAAGTGAACTAACACAAGATCAGAAAACCAAATACTGTAGGTTCTTATAAATTGGAGCTAAACATTGAATACACATCAATGTAAAGATAGGAACAATAGACACTGGGGACCTCTAGATAGGGAAGGGAAGGGGGGATTATGGGACTAAGACCCACCTGTTGGGTACTATGCTTACTTCTGGGGCAATAGGATCATTGGTACCTCAAGCCTCAGTGTCACACACTTTACCCATGTAACAAACCTGCATGAGTACCCTTTAATCTATAATAAAAATTAAAATTATGAAAACATAGTATTAAAATGAAATAATTAGAAATAAATTTTAATAAAAATATACACTGTAAACTACAAAACATTGCAAAAGTAAATTAAAGAACATCTAAACAGCTAAACAGATGTGCTCATGGATTGGAAGACTTAATATTATTAAAATGATATTTATCCAAATTGATCTATAGAGACTTTTAATACCAATCAGAACACTATTGGGCTTTTTAAATAAATTAACAAGCTCGTTCAAAAATATATATGGAAAGATAAATGATCTACAATAGCTAATTTATCAAAAATCATTGAATTTTATGTCTAAAATGAGTGCATTTTATTGTATATGAATTACACCTCAATAAAGCTGTTAAGAATAGATAAAACTACACAATCTCTTGTTTAAGACTTACTATAAAGCCACACCAATCAAGAGAGTGTAAAATTAAATGACATAAGAGTCAACATAGATCAATAGACCAGAATAGAGTCCATAAATAGACTCAAACTGATATGTTCAATTGATTCTCAATAAAGGTAATTCAGTGAAAAGTAAGTAGTCTTTTCAAGAAATATTGTTGGAACAACTAGATAACTATATGGACAAAAATTAACCTCTACTTTTATCTCACACCATAAATAAACATTAATTGAAAGTTACTCAAATACCTTAACTTAAAACAACTAAATTTATTAAACTTCACAAAGAAAACAGAAGAAAAATTTTCTGACCGTGATAGGCAGACTAATCCACCTCCCTGATCCCCCCCAAAAGATGTTTAAATCCTCATTTCTGGACCCGATAATATGCTAGTTTAAAATGGCCAAATGCACTATGAAGTTGTAATTAAGCTTATGTACTAGAGATAAGGAGATCCTCCTGGATTACCCAAGTGAGCCAAAACTAATTAAATGAGTCCTTAAAAGCAAAGAACTTTCCCAGTTGATGTCAACGTCAGGGGGAGATGTGACTATGAAAGTATGATCAGAGAGATTGCATTGCTATCTTTGAAGATCCAAAAAGAAGCCATGCGCAAAGGAATATGGGCAGCCTGAAGAAGCTGAATAAAGCAAGGAAACAAATTCTACCGTACAGCCTCTAAAAAGAAAAAGATTCCTATCAACATCGTGGTTTTAATTCAGTGAAATGTGTGTCAGATTTCTGACCTACAAACCTGTAAGATAATATATTTGTGTTGGCTTAAGACCCTAAGTTTTTGCTAGTAATAGAAATCAATAAAGTATCATTGGAGTAAGCAAAAATTTCTTAAAGTTGACAGCAAAAGCACAAATTATAAAATAACTAGGTTGATCAAAGTTGATGAAATGTATATCACTAGTATTAAAATGACTTTGAATTTCAAGAAAACTTCAACTACAGACTGGAAGTAAAATGTTTGCAAATTATATGTGTGATAAAGTGCTTATATCAAAATGTATAAAGAAACCTACAACTCAGTAAGAAGAGAAAAAACTCAATACAAAATAGTCAAAATAATTTTAATAGGCCCTTCAAAATAAGACAGCCAATGAGCTGATGAAAAGATGGTCAGTAACATTTTGAGAAATACAAATTAAAACCACAATAAGAAACCAATACTCAGTCTCTAGAATGACAAAATCTAAAAGCAACACAAACATCAATCAGAGAATAGGAAAGAAATATGTGATATATCAATACCATATATTACTATGCAGAAAAAATGAAAATGTAGATACATACAACATATATAATCTCAAAAAAGAAGTTAAATACAAGACTAAGCATAGCATGCTTCTATTAATGAAATTCTAGAAAAGGCAAAAATTATTATAACAGAAAGCCCATCACTGCTTGTATAGAGTCAAAAATGGGAGAGGCTATTAAATGTGAAAGGGCAAAAGGAAACTTCTTATGGTGAAATAAAAATTGTATATATTGATTATGGTGAAGGTTACATGATTGTATAAAATTATAAAATGTCCTCAAATAATTCACTTAAAACTAATAAATTTTATATGTAAATAAAACCTCAATAAACAAAATAGAGAGAAATATGCCAAATAATCATTAATTATAGAATCAGGGTATTCAAAACTATAAAATTCATGATGTTTATTCCTACTTTTATACATCATCTTCTAGGCTTTACTCTCTCTCAAATAAAGCAACATGTTTTGAAGTGTTATCCCTTCTTAAAATGTTCTTTCCATTATTTCTGTAACAAATTGTTAATGAATCGTAACCCACACAGTAATATCAATGCTCACAAAACAAGCCAGAGTTTTTGGAATCCAAATTTGTCATAATTAATTTGAGTTTCAAGTTAATAATATTAATGTGACACTTCTGCCTTAAAACTAAGATAACAAATATCTTTGGGAGTTTTTCTTCCAATAGACTCCAGTATAAAGCAGAGTATCTGCAGCATATTAATAAAATAACTTATTAGTTGGTGCTTCCTAAAAACTGAAATTGTTATCAATATCAGCAACATAGAATATGCCTGAAAAATCACACTGTAAAGTGTGATATAATTTATCATTTTAATTGTGGTTCAAAATAATCCTCAATCCAATATTTTCCAATTTTTATGTTAAAGCTAAGAATGAGACTTTGTTAATGAAATTCTGACAAGTTACCCAAAGATAGTAAAGAGATTTGTTTAAGTTGTAAATCCAACAATAGCACAGAGAATGGGATCGGAGGTAGCAGAAGAAACATTTTACACAAAAGCAGAAGGATGCACAAAAGCAGTAACTGTTTTCACAGAGCAAGTAAGCTAAATCCTAAACTTGCAGAGGGAAACACTTAAAAACAACCCATTTTCATTAGCAAATCCTGAAAAGGCTTGAGAATTGGTGTCACCAGATACCATTCAGACTTAAGAAAGTTCAGTTTAAAAACAGATGGATTAATTAGAAGAAGCAAATCACAAGAGCGAAGACATAGAATCAACCTAAATGCCCATTAATGGTAGACTGAATAAAGAATATGTGGTACATATACCCAATAGAATAATATGCAGACATAAAAAGAAATGAGATCATGTCATTTGCAACAACACGGATGGAGCTAGAGGCTGTTATTCTAAGCAAATTGATGCAGGAACAGAAAACCAAATACCATATGTTCTCATTTATAAGTGGCAGCTAAATATTGAGTACACACGGATACAAAGTAGGGAATGACAGACCCTGGGGTCTGCTTAAAGGTGGAGGGTGGCAGGAGGGGAAGACTGAAAAACAACCTATACAGTACTATGCATATTACCTGAGTGATGAAATAATCTGTACAACAAACACCCATGACAAACAATTTACCTATGTAACAAACCTGCACGTGTATTCTTGAACCTAAAAGCTAAATAAATAAAAAATTAAAAATTAAATTATAATTTTCAATGTAGAAGTTTTACCTGTAGATTTTTTATCTTACTAATTTTTGTATAATTGTTTCATTTTGACTTTGGAAAGTTAATAGATGTTTTATAGTGATCCCTAAACAGCACTATTTTGACAATGTAAATCTTAGTAAAGTACATTGATTCTAAATATTTTTAAAATAAAATTTAACAAAATGGCAAAAAAAAAAAAAAATTAGAAGAAGCAATTACATCCCCAGATCTCCGATTCTCAATTAACCTGGCAACTTTCTCTTCCCAACAAACACTCCTCCCCTCCTCAGTAGAACACTAACAGTTTATTTACTGAAAAGAATAAAACAGATTTTCTGAATTTGGGGACTCAAAGCAGAATAGAACACAGTAGTTTCATACTGAAAACTAGTGGGTTAAGTGAAAATTTCCATATTAAATTATGCATTCATCTTTTTTCCCCATTCAGTTCCTAGAAACTTGGCATCTAGGAACATATTATCCTGGCACGATTTGGAAATCATCTTTTCTGAGAAAACTGACTACTCCAAGACAACACTACTTTAAATGTATTTATATTATTGATCCCTTAAGGAAATGGCCCTAGCAGATGACTCTAATGTGAAAACTGCAGTGAACAAATCCCACTCATGCACAGAGCTTCTGTGAAGATTTTCAGTGTCCACTTTTGAAGGAAATGTAGCCATATATCATTAGAAATTTGGGAAACATTCAATATAAAGGACAAGCAAAAACAGAGAAAAGAGTATTTTGGACACAAAGAATATGCAGGGAAAAATATTTTAAAACTGCAAATAATATTCTCACTGTGATAAGAATATATTATTTTATTAAACAAAATAGAAAGCCACAACAATAATATTCAGAGGACCAAATATTACTCCTGGTACTTAAAAATGTTATTGCAAATATGTAAAACTCAATGGAAGGTTTGAAAGATGAAAATATTTTTCAGGAAGCAGAACTAAAAGAGATAAAAATAGATAATAATACAATAGGGTAAAATTAGGGGACAGATTCCAGTATCTGTCCCCTAATTTTACTAAATTGTAAGAGTTACAGAAAGAGTACAAAAAGAAATGTAAGATAATAAATGAAAAGAAAAATTGAGAGAATGTCATAGAACTGATATTTATAGCTTTCATATTGGCAGAGGCCATCAAATGGCCAGAGGATAAAATAAAAATTAACCTTTATCAAGGCATATTATTATAAAATTTCATAATACAGGAGAAAAATAAATGACTCTGCAAGCTCCTATAGAATGGGGAAAAAAAAGAAAGTCTTCAAGGAAAGATTAAGAAGAGTAGTAGAATGGCCTTGGACTTCTCAAGGAGGGCGTGGATGCTATAAGACAGTTAAGCAATGCTTTCATAATAGTGAAAGAAAATATGTTCCCACTTAGAAACCTATGCTCAAAGAGTCTGTTACTCAAATGTGAAGGGAGAACTGAAACAGTTTTAGATTTTTAAGCTTTAAATAGGAGAATTCCTATGTAACCTGTTCTAGGATGTTTATGTTCCACTTAAACAAAGGAGTAAAAACCTAGAAAGAGAAAGATACTTTTGAGACTCTTGTTATCGTCATGTGTATAAATAGGTATCTATGTATAAAGTACACTTAATTTTCACCAGAATTACTTTTTTCCTTTTTTTATTTTTATTTATTATTTTTGTGGGTATATAGTAAGTGTGTATATTTATGGAATACATGAGATGTTTTGATACAGGCATGCAATGTACAAAGTAAAATTCTCCACATCATGGAGAATGGGTACCCATCCCCTCTAGCATTTATACTTTTATACTTTGACTTGCAAACAATCCAATCACACTCTTTTTTTTTTTTTTTCCAGAGACACAGTCTCACTGTCTTGCTCTGTCGTCCAGGCTGGACTGCAGTGGCGTGATCTGGGCTCACGGCAACCTCCGCCTCCTGGGTTCAAGCAATTCTCCTGCCTCAGCTTCCTGAGTAGCTGGGACTACAGGCCCATGCCCCCATGCCCTGGTAATTTTTTGTATTTTAGTAGGACAGGGTTTCACCATGTTGCCCGGGCTGGTATCGAACCCCTGAGCTCAGGCAATCCGCCCACCTTGGCCTCCCAAAGTGTTGGGATTACTGGCATGAGCCACCGCACCCGGCCTACACTCTTTATTTTAAAAAGTACAATTAAGTTATTATTGACTATGGGCACCATGTTGTGCTATCAAATAGTAGGTCATGTTTGTTCTTTCAAACTATTTTTTGTAACAATTAACCATATCCACCTACCCTTCCCAGACTCTGGTAACCATCCTTCTACTCTCTATGTCCATGAGTTCAATTGTTTTAATTTTTAGGTCCTATAAATAAGTGAGAACATGTGATGCTTGTCTTTCTTTGTCTGGCTTATTTCACTTAAAATAGTGATCTCCAGTTCCATTCGTGTTGTTGCAAATGACTGGATCTCATTCTTTTTTATGGTCAAATAGTACTCCATTGTGTATATGTACCACATTTTCTTGTGGAGAAAAAGGGAACCTTTATACATTACGTATAGGGAACATAAATGTAATGTTATGTAAATTAGTACTTTGCATTTCCACTAAGAGTGTACAACTGACTGCAGAACAGTTTGAAGGTTCCTCAAAAAACTAAAAATTGAGCTACCATATGATCCTGCAATTTCACTGCTGGGTATATACCCAAAAGAAAGGAAGTCAGTATATTGAAGAGATATCTGCACTCCTATGTCTGTTGCATCACTGTTTACAACAGTTAAGATTTGGAAACAATCCAGATGTCCTTCACCAGAATTTATTTGGTAACAATATCAATAGTGCTTTTGAAAGGAAGTTTTTCAAGATTAAGGGGTCTGGAAATTTTTTATAAAAATGTAGTTGCCCCTGTACTTGGGGCAAATGCTACCACTTCACCAAAATTTATAGGAAGTGAATGAGCTTTACAACCAGGCTAATTTTATATACATAATTCTGGTAGAAATGAGTATCAACAAAAACCTCCATAAAACCCACAGGTCAAAAATGTTGGCAGGTTAGTTTGTTAGTGAAAACTTAATAAAAATAGGAGAAAAAAATGCTTGCAACTATGTTGCTTGTTAATGTATCAAAACAATGTTTTACTTTATAATGTATGCTTTATAATGATCTGCTATGCATTGCTACACATGACAGGAATTATCTAGACATTGCTGCTCATTCAATTAAACATATTTCCTTTTATTAATGGCAAAACCCTACTATACTACATTTTTGCATAGGTAAAAAATTACAGGCCATACAAATCAACCAGTAAAATATAGCAAGTGAACTGATATTCAATTTGTCAGGCTTTATGATGCTTGAGCCTTTAAAGTATGCTGAAAAGGAAGGGTGGGGGGCAAGATTTCATTATATACTGCTTGAGGCCAAAAGAACAAGAAAAGCAGCAAAATGTTTTGTTGACTTACAAAAATAATGTCACAATGCATTTTACTTACAATTTCTTCTTTTTGTAGCAAACAGGAGAGCTTTTTTCCAATAGATTTTCTTGGAGACTTGCAAGCATTTCATAGAGTCTAGACAAGTTGGATTATGTTCTTTATCTCCATATCTATAGATTTTTGTAAACATTTCTGATATGATCTCATCTTCCCTTGGTTAAAAGTTTCCTCTGTAGCAACTGTCTTTTGAAATCAGTTCACAATTGATGATGTCCTCAATTAAACTTCATCTAATGAAAAACAGACTTATTTAATATTTTGAAAATCAATATTGATGGTGATAAAGGAAACTGATCACTTGACTCTCTCTGATGACAATTTTTAAATTTAGGTCATTTCTTGCCAAAATGACAAAAAAGGCTGAACAATACGATGAATTTAAAAATGCAATCTTATTTACTAACCCTCTTCTATTAATAGAAAAAAAATTATTTGATATTTAATTCATGACAAATTATTAAAAGAAAGTGACTTACAGCATAGGATATCATAAATAGCCTGATAATTGGAAGATATGAGACTGGTCCAATATTTTCAAAACTGAAACTATTATTCATCCATATATACCAGCCAATTTCATAGTTATTTACATGTTTATAAAACATATTCATAATATTTTAGTGCTATGCTTATATTATACTAATGAGATTAATGTGGCATTTTTAGATTACAATGCCTTTTAATCAGCTCCCTTATTTGTCTTGGGTGATAATTTACTATTATACGATTTCTTAAAATATTGGAAAATTTTTTAAATGCTTATAGTTTTTGAAATTTATACTGTATGTCTTGATAAGTTCCGTGTTCTGTCATTCTCTTAGCATCATGGCCTCAGGTTACCTAACCCTTATGGGGAGCTAGCTCACTGAAATAAGCAAAAATTCTGCAACAGATAGGCATTAGGAGTAATTGAATTCTACTTAAGTGAACAAATACTCTCCCTGAAGAAGAACTATTTACTCTAAAACATCTGTGTTAGTATGTTACCACTCTACATGTTCAAGGAGATAAATATGAGATAAATTATTCATTTTCTTTCCATGGTGGCAATAGTCCATAAATTATACCAAATCTCTCTATCTGGTATAATTATAAAGCCAAATATATATAAATTGTAATATATACTTATTATATATAATGTATGTATTTGGTATAATTATATATATAATATATATTTGGTATAATTATAAAATTATATATATAGATACACACACATACATATATACACCAGTTACAAGATATAGATGAAAGATTATAGATATGAGATTAGATGTTAATATGATTTTCTTTTAGTAAGTTATGATCAATAAAGATAGTATCCACACTGTGTCATGGGATTATTTTTCTCTTCTGCCTGGTAAAATGGAAATCTTCCCATTTCGAGTAATAAAAATATTCACACACACACACACACAATTTAAACTCACTTTTGCAATATGGATAAGTTCTGCTATGTAAATAACATAAAATGCCAACATATATCTAATTACTTTCTCTTGTCATTTCTCCTTATATTAAAAGAGATATACTATGTATTTGTGGCTTCTTTGGGAGCATCAATTTATTTTGAATTGCTAGGTCAAGAAAATCACTGACCAGTAAAATATTAAAGTTACTTTAATTAGGTACAAGTTAAAGTATAAATATAGCATTACAATGGTGAAAAATTTCTAGAAATTTCATAACAAATGCATATATGCTAGCTTCTTCCAACCTGGCCTGAACATGTAAAAGTGTTACATTATCCTAAACAATAATTTCTCAGATAATTTTCAAATAGGATAACAAATTTCTTCTGACTTAGTATTTTTAATTACAAAATGGTCACTGAAGGAGGACATTCATTGTAAAGAATATAAAACAATCTTTTAATATTGTAATCCTTGCCACTTAAGTTAAATAAATCTTTGATTCCTAAGACATTAACACACAGAAAATAATTCCTACTTCACATGGTATAAAAGAAAATAATGAGTCAAACAAAGCATTATGACAGACTTGCTATAAAAAAAAATAGAAATACTGGCCCCAAACCACTGTTTCTACTGATACATGGAAGATACAATTTGTATTTTTAAGAGATAATGACGGCTCAGTGTTTTTACAAATACACTGAAAGTAAAAGTTACCTTTAGTGCTATAATAACAATAAAATTAGGAAACACTTCAACAGTGAAGAAAAACACACAACAAAATCCACTATTCCCAGTGTAAAGTCAATTTATAAAATAGCGTCAAGCAATGAATAACAAAACAGAGGAAAGATAAAAGCAATCTTGCATTTTCTTCCCCCCCGCAATATTTTACACTCTACTATTTAAAGTGAGTTTCTTTACAACAAATGGTGCTTTAAAGGAAAGTAATATTTTTTTCCACTTTGTGTTTGATAAAATCTTACCACATGTGGAATTTTCATTGATTTCACAGGAAGGAATAAGGAATCCAAGCTCAAAAGAAGAGATTATTCTTGGAGAGAAAGATCCCACAATACATTTCATTTCTATTGCCAAAGAATTTTAAGAACTCATTTGTCTGGGCAGAGTCTCTTCTCTCCAGGATTGACTTAGGTGTGGTCTAAATGTGCAGTTGACCTCTCAAGGTCAGTTCCAGATTTATGAGCTTGTAAAATTCCTTAAAGCCATTTCTATTCCAGGCTCTCATATACTGATTCTACTTTCCTTGACCAAGATGAAAAAAGCCTTTGTTCATGCTCAATGGAAAGCAGATCACTGAATACTGTTTTTTTTTTCAGTGAAGTTGAACAATTCAGAACTCTTTTGATTAATGCAGAAGTGCTAAGAGTAGTCCTCCCTAATGTGTTGCTATGATATTCAACCACGCCACATGCTGCTGAAAGGTTCCTGTCTAAATGCCATAGGATGGGTTGAAACGTGCTCACCCCAGGCAATTATTTCCAGAACAATTAGTGCCTACTGCGATTTCAAAAAATACAGCTTTGCTTCTTTGTCCCTCTGAATTGCACTGGTCTAAAGAATAGGCTTCTATAATTTTAGCTTATAGAGATAGACTTGTTTACCTCTGCAAATATTTAGAAAGTGAGAGCTATGTTTCAGGTGAATACACATCTACTCTAATCAGAAAGAAACATCAGAATTCTAGCTTTTTTGTCCTAAATTATTACCATTATTGCAACTTGTTCTTTCAAAATTTTGGTAGACAGATGAAAAACTGCTGCCATTCTTCTTGATAAAAATATCAATTGTGGCTCACTGATACAATCTACTCATCTATTTCCAGGAGAAGTAGTGTTGTTATAGTATATAGCTAGTCTGGTATGAGCAGGGAGGAAGAGGGCTCCGCTGAGCGCGCACACATACACATCAGGAGTGTCAGTCGACCATCAGGTAATGGACAGGCAGTTGTTAACTGTCTCTCCAAAGTAATAATTAGTCACAGCCAGCACCAGGGAAATGCAGTCTCCTAGTAGATAGAAAACACCTGAAACTCATCAGCAGCTTCCCAGTAAGATCGCAGAAGTCGGAAGAAGTGATGCAAGATCCTGGAATTGTGTCAAAGTATAAACCCCAAGTCAAAAGGTCAAATAGCACAATATCTTTCAAGTTGTCCGCATGGCCCTCGTCCGGGTACATTTCCTTCCTTTCATTCCTGCTCTAAAGCTTTGTAATCAACTTTCACTCCTGCTTTAAAATTTGCCTCTGTCTCCTTCTGCCTTATGCCCCTCAGTTGAATTTTTCTTCAGAGGAGGCAAGAATTGAAGTTGCTGTAGACCGGTACAGTTTTTCCACCACTAACATATTTTGGTGGTGTGTGACTAGGACACCCTTCACTGCCAACATACTTTGGTACCTTGTGACTTGTATAACTTCCACCACTAACATACTCTGATGCTGCATGACTCAGATATGTTCCCTAGTGGCAACAGACCTTCTTTGGCTGGAGATGTTCAACCCCTGTATGTGGTTTTCTTCTCCCTTTCTCTCTCCTGCTTACTAACCAGCCCCCAGAACAAGTCTTCTTGGCGATAAGCAATTCTGATCCCCACAGCTGATCTCTCAGCTCACCCTGAGGGGTGGCTCATGGAGGTGGAAAGGAACTTGAAGTCCACACCAAGTAGAACTGAAGTACTAATGGCCATCCTGGACAGGAGGCTGATGAGAGTGGTAGGGCTAAAGCCTAAAACTGTGCAACATTTTGGGTTTTCTCGGCTTTTTCAACTAAAATCAGCTCTTTCTCCCAAATCCTGCACCATTTATTCTCCTGTTTTCTCTGTGTGTGTTCTGAAGTGGCTTTGAGCACCTGCCAGTTGGTCCACCTCAGGGGCAAGTCTACCTTTTCTCTGGTTTCACTTCGCATGCCACCTGACTTTCTACTCTGCCTTAAAACACACACTCCCTGTTATTCATGCACCCATGGCTCTTGCTGTGTTTGCTCAGCAGCAGAGAAGTGGGCTCCCTTTTGGATGTCTGTTGGCCCATTGCCAGGACACTAACTGGAACCCCAGCTCTGCCAGCTCCTTACGACTTACCATACACTTTTTATTCCTGTTACACCCCAGGGCCAAGTTTTCCAGTGGGTCATGACACAGGTGAAATCCTGCCCCTGTACCCCTTGGACCTCACTGCATACCACTTTCGCCAACCCACAGAGCCAACCCTGCCCTGACAGCAAGAGGATAAGACCCACAGAAATCACCACGACTTCCACCCCTCTATCAGCAGGAAGCAGTTACAGAAGACTTACCTTCATCCATTTTCCCCAAAGAATTGGTGTCTTGGAATCTTGAGGAAAGAAACGTTACAGAAGTTAGCTAGTCTTGTATGAGCAGGACCGGAGAGGTCTACCCCTACCCTCCCCCAACACATACCAGGAGTGTCAGTCAACCAGGTGATGGTCAGGCAGTTGTTAACTGTCTCTCTAAATTAATGATTGGTCACAGCTGACACAAGGGAAAGGCCCATCTCTTACTCGATGGAAAACACCTGAAACTGATTAGCAGCTTCCCAGTAAAGTCTCAGCAGTTGGAAGAAGTATACCAACATATAAAACCCCAAGTCAATAGGTCAAATAGTGCACTTATCTTTCAAGTTGCCCACTTGACCCTCTTCCAGGTGTATTTCCTTCCTTTCATTTCTGCCCTAAAGCTTTGTAATAAACTTTCGCTCCTGTTCTAAAACTTGCCTCAGTCTGCCTTATGCCACTCAGTTGAATTCTTTCTTCTGAGGAGGCGAGAAGTGAGGTTGCTGCAGGCCTGTATAGATTTTCTGCCAGTAACATATTTTGGTGCAATGTAACTCAGATACCTTCCACTGCTAACAGTGTGAAAGTTTATCTAAAAAATTATTTACATATGTTTTGGAAAACAGCACTCACCCATGTCTGTAGTACATTTTCAATTTTATGGAAACAAATAGTATTACCAACAAATTACTATGATATTTATGGAGTTTCTGTGGAAAAGTTCCATATTGCCATTACTTAGTTAAAAACATCAAAAATATAAATCACTCCCTCTTTTAAGCAAAACTAAAATACATTAAAAATAATTATATAATTTAAAGAATTTTGGCAACCTACATAAAGTTTATGGTTTTAATATGTATTTTCTTGGCTTAAGAAAGATCATTATGCTATAAATACATGTGGATGTTTATATTTACTAGTCATAGTAGTATAAACTCAGACCTTGGAAACATGCATTCTTAAGTGCAGAAGAATGAAAATGCCTTAAAAAGGTTAATTTATTATTATTAAAATTTAATGTCTTTTATAATTTATTCTACATGACTTGTTTTGAAATTTTTGACTCAAATGGGAAAGAGCTTACCTGAGTTTACTCCAAGCTGTGTTCAGTCAAAATAGTTTTTCTTGTGTTTTTAGTTTTCCAATATCTTTAACAGATTTAATATATATTACATAATACATGAAATATAATCTAGTCTTAATAATATATTAAAATAATATAATATACACAATTATGGTAAAAAATACAGCATCAAATTTACTATCTTAATTATTTTTACATGTACAGTTAAGTAGGTCTCAGTATATTCACATTGTTGTGTAATAGATTCCTAGAACTTTTTCATCTTGAAAACCTGAGTTTAATAACTGCTTTGTATTCCATGGTTATTTTTCACTATATAATTGCAATGCTTAATTTTTTTATTTTTGAGAGTTAAATTTATAATGTACAACCATCAGTAATTTCTCAATCTAATTTCCTATAACATAAAATTATATGAGTTTATAAGATGTCATCAGTTAACCCAAAATATTTTTTCTAGTGGCTGAAAGGACTACATCTAACAGATTACCTTTTCCTGTGGTTTAGTCTCCTATCTAACTACTTAGAGTCTGGAAAATAAGTCAAAATATTTTCACAGCTCCTACTTTTAGGCATTAAATTACCTCTAGTACTTTACACAAAAGCAGATATAACCTCACAGCTCAGGCCAATTCCAAACAAACCATTTTGTTTCTACGGATATGATTCCCTTCCTGCTTTTTTCTGCTTTGTAAAAAAAGTTCCTATCTCATCCATTTAATCTGTTTGCAGTGTGTTTGAGAAGCATTTAAAGTTTACCAAATATACACCACTCCATATGCTTCACCTACTTAATTCATTTCTTCAAGTATTCATTGATTATTTTTTAAGTTGAAATGTTCCAATATCTCTGGTATCCCTACTTTAATATCATTTTCTTTTCTTCTACATATTAATCTTTACAAAAAACATTTTCCAAATGATTATACTCTTAATTTTGACATACTTTCACATTTTGCTAGTTTAGTCACAAATTCCCTTCTTATTGTGGCTTCCTTTATTCTCCTTACTTTGAAGTCTTAAGGCAAATTAAAAATAAGAAGTAAGTTTAATAACCCATTAAATCCATTACAGAAAAAAATAAGCAGTCCGAAAAGTGTATTCTATCACAGCTATTGTTTTCTTTTTTCTTTTCTTTTTTTTTTTTTTTTTTTTTTTGAGACGGAGTCTCGCTCTGTTGCCCAGGCTGGAGTGCAGTGGCACAATCTCGGCTCACTGCAAGCTCCGCCTCCCAGGGTTCATGCCATTCTCCTGCCTCAGCCTCCCGAGTAGCTGGGACTACAGGCGCCCGCCATTATGCCCGGCTAATTTTTTTGTATTTTTAGTAGAGACGGGGTTTCACCGTGTTAGCCAGGATGGTCTCAATCTCCTGACCTCGTGATCCGCCCACCTCTGCCTCCCAAAGTGCTGGGATTACAGGCGTGAGCCACCGCACCCAGCCAGCCATTGTTTTCTTAATAATAGAATAACTATGAATCAAGTCATTTTCCATGGAGAATGACTCTAACAATTCTAACTAGCCAAAATAGAGGACATTCTTGAATTCCAGAGGTTGGGATAGAATTCCTGCAAGAGTTCATTAATTTTCTGTCACTTGCATCTAGCAGAGCTGTTGGAAGAGAGCAGAAAAGTAAGATAGTTGGCCCAAATTGCTGACTACCACTTTTGCTGCTTTCTTTATTACCAAGTGGCTGCATAGACTACATAAAATCTTGTCCAACCTTGAGAATTAATCAACATTGATCTGTATAGAAGAGATTTGGCTTACAAGTTTGCACATTCCAACTGGATTGTCATGGTAACAGCATAATGAACAAATATTGTGCATGAGCTTTTTGATTCCTGAGTCAATTTCTATCCCCCCAAACATTACTTATATTTGATAAAGCAAATGCTGAATCATATACAATTCAAGAACATTTAAGATTTATAAACTGATTGCCATGGTAGATGCTGGGTGAATGGGAAAAACGTGCAAATAACTTTTCTTGAGAATATAAAAGACAGTAAAACAGGCATAATTGTTTAAAATAATATGTGTTCTGGAAGGCAATATTTTATTTACTGCTAGGATTTGAAGTTCATAATTCAAGCGCTAGTGAAATCCAGAGACATAAAACGTGAAGAAAGACACTAGAGAAAACACACAATCCAATTAAAAAGTGGACAATAGCAAAAACATAAAAATCATAGGTGCCCATCAAAGGACTGAACAAAGAAAATGTGGTACATATACACCATGGAATACTATGTAGCCATAAAAATACTGAAATCATGTCCATTGCAGCAAGATGGATAGAATTGGAGGCCACAATCCTCAGCAAATTAATGAAGGAACAGTAAACCAAAAACGACATATTCTCACTTACAAGTGGGAGCTAAATGTTGAGTACACATGGACATAAACATAGGAACAATAGACGCTGCAGACTACTTGTATTAGTCTGTTTTCATGCTCTGATAAAGACATACCTGAGACTGGGAAGAAAAAGAGGATTAATTGGACTTACAGTTCCACATGGCTGGGGAGGCCTCAGAATCATGGCGGGAGGTGAAAGACTCTTCTTACATGGTGGTGGCAAGAGAAAAATGAGGAAGAAGCAAAATCAGAAACCCCTGATAAACCCATCACATCTTGTGATACTTATTCACTATCATGAAAATAGCATGGGAAAGACTGGCCCCCATGATTCTATTACCTCCTGCTGTGTCCCTCCCACAACATGTGGGAATTCTGGGAGATACAATTCAAGTTGAGATTTGGGTGGGGGCATAGCCAAATCATATCATTCCACCCCTGGCCCCTCCAAATCTCAGGTCCTCATATTTCAAAACCAATCATACCTTCCCAACAGTCCCACAAAGTCTTAACTCATTTCAGCATTAACCTGAAAGTCCACAGTCCAATGTCTGATCTGAGACAAGGCAAGTCCCTTCTGCTTATGAGCCTGTAAAGTCAAAAGCAAGCTAATTGCTTCCTAGATACAATGAGAGTACAGATATTGGGTAAATACAGCTGTTCCAACTAGGAGAAATTGACCAAACCCAGAGGTTACAGGGCCCATGCAAGTCCAAAATCCAGTGGGGTAGTCAAATTTTAAAGCTCCAAAATGATCTCTTTTGACTCCAAGTCTCACATCCAAATTACACTGATGCAAGAAGTGGGTTCCTGTGGTCTTTGGCAGCTCTGCCACTGTAGCTTTGCAGGGTATAGCCTCCCTCCTGGCTGCTTGCATGCGCTGGCATTTAGTGTCTGCAGCTTTTCCAGGTGCATGGTGCAAGCTGTCAGTGGATCTACCATTCTGGGGTCTGGAGGATGGTGGCTCTCTTCTCACAGCTCCACTAGGCAGTGCCCAGTAGGGACTATGTGTAGAGGCTGCAAAACCACATTTCCCTTCCGCACTGCCCTAGCAGAGGTTCTCCATGAGGGCCTTGCCCCTGTAACAAACATTTGCCTGGGCATCCAGGCATTTCCATCCATCTTTTGAAATCTAGGCAGAGGTCCCCAAACTTCACTCTTGACTTCTATGCACCCTCAGGCTCAACACCATGTGAAAGCTGCCAGGACTTGGGGCTTCCACCCTCTGAAGCCACAGCCCAAGCTCTATGTTGGCCCCTTTCAGCCACGGCTCAAGTGGCTGGGACACAGGGCACCAAGTCCCTAGGCTGCACACAGCATGGGGACCCTGGGCCCGGCCCATGAAACCAATTTTTCCTCCTAGGCCTCTGAGCCTGTGATGGGAGGGGCTACATGAAGGTATCTGACATGGCCTGGAGACATTTACCCCATGGTCTTGAGGATTAACATTAGGCTCCTTGCTATTTATGCAAATTTCTGCAGCTGGCTTGAATTTTTCCTTAAAAAATGTTTTTTTTCTTTTCTACTGCATCATCAGGCTGCAAATTTTCTGAACTTTTATGCTCTGTTTCCCTTTTAAAATGGAATGCTTTTAACAGTACCCAAGTCACCTTTCAAATGCTTTGCTATTTAGAAAATTCTTCCACCAGATACCCTAAATCATCTCTCTGAAGTTCAAAGTTCCACAAATCTCTAGGGCAGGGGCAAAATGCCGCTAGTCTCTTTGCTAAAACATAGCAGGAGTCACCTTTGCTCCAGCTGCCAACAAGTTCCTCATCTCCATCTGAGACCACCTCAGCCTGGATCTTATTGTTCATATTATTATCAGCATTTTTGTCAAAGCCATTCAACAAGTCTCCAGGGAGTTCCAAACTTTCCCACATTTTTCTGTCTTCTTCTGAGCCCTCCAAACTGTTCTAACCTCTGCCTGTTATCCAGTTCCAAAGTCGCTCCCACATTTTTGAGTATCTTTTCAGCAACACTCCACTGTACTGGTGCCAATTTACTCTATTAGTTCGTTTTCACACTGCTGATAAAGACATACCCAAAACTCAGGACAAAAAGGGGTTCAATTTGATTTACAGTTTCACATGGCTGGGGAGGCCTCAGAATCATAGCAAGAGTCAAAAGGCACTTCTTACATGGCAGTGGCAACAGAAAGATGAGAAGGATGCAAAAGTGGAAATCCATGATAAAACTATCAGTTCTCATGAGACTTATTCACTACCACAGGAAAAGTATGGAGAAAACTGTCCACGTGATTCAAATTATCTCCCACCGGCTCCCTCTCATAGTACGTGAGAATTACGGGAGTGAAATTCAAAATGAGGTGTGTGGGGGGACACAGAGCCAAACCATATCACAACTAGATGGGAGAGAGAGGGAAAATGGGTTGAAAAACCAATTATTGGGCACTATGCTCACTACCTGAGTACAATATATGCATATTATTAACCTGCACATGTACTCTTTGCATCTAAAATTAAAGTTAAATTTTTTTAAAAGTAGGCAAAAAACATGAACAAACCCTTCTCAAAATAAGACATACAAGTGTCCAGCAAACAAATGCAAAATGCTCAACATCACTAATCATCAGAAAGATGCAAATCAACACCATAATGAGACACTATCTCACACCAGTCAGAATGGCTAATATAAAAAGTCAAAAACAGCAAATACTGGCCAAGCTGAGGAGAAAAGGGAATGTTTTTACACTATTGGTGAGAATGTAAATTATTGCAGCCACTGTGAAAAGTAGTTTGGATATTTCTCAAAGAACTTAAAACTACCATTTGACCCAACAATCCCATTACATTATACCAAAAAGATACCTGTGCTTCTATGTTCATCACAACACTATTTATAATAGCAAATGAATGGAATCAATCTAGTTGCTCATTAACGGTGGATTAGATGAAGAAAATGTGATATGTATACACAGTGGAATACTACACAGCCATAAATAAATACCAAACTCAGTTCCTTTCCAGCAACATGGATGCAGCTGGAAGCCATCATGCTAAGTGAATTAATGCAGGAACAGAAAACCAAATATTACCTGTTCTCACTTATAAGTAGGAGCTAAACACTGGATACCCATGAACGTAAAGATGGCAATGGCAGACACTGGGGAGGAGGACAAAAGTCAGGCTTCTTTTCCTTAAAACTTCTGAAGTGATTAATTTACGTAAAGCCATGCTCTTCACAACATGATTTTAGATTACGATAAAATGTGCACTTGACGAGACTTTCTAATTTGCTAAAACAATTCCTTTGCTTTAGGTTTTGAAGAGCCTTTCAGTTAGAAGCTGGGATTTAGTTTCAGGCAATCTGTGAACTATGTTCCCATCCAAACTTTGCTTTTTAGCAAATCTGATATGTTGATTTCCATGTTCATCTGTGCCACTTGGAAAACTTACTAGATTCAAGATCTATGAAACCAATCATTTTGGCTGATTTAAAGCTCTATCTGATGTTTACACAATCTTGTTATCCAAGTCCAGGTTATTTCAGCCTATGACTTTTTATTGTACGATATGGTTTGGCTATGTCCCCACCCAAATCTCGTCTTGAACTCTAGCTCCCACAGTTCTAACGTGTCCTGGGAGGGACCCATTGGGAGGTAACTGAATCATAGGGGCAGTTCTTTCCTATGCTGTTCTTATGATAGTGAATAAGCCTCATGAGATCGGATGGTTTAATAAAGAGGAGTTCCCTTGCAAAAACTCTTTCTTTGCTTGCCACCATCCACTTAAGATGTGACTTGCTCCTCCTTGCCTTCCACCATGATTGTGAGGCCTCCCCAGTCATGGGGAACTGTGAATCCATTAAACCTCTTTATTTTGTAAATTGCCCAGTCTCAGGTATGTCTTTATTAGCAGCATAAATATGGACAAATACATTGCACCTATGAAATTAAATTATAATAGACACAGAATATTATTACAACATCTGCCTCTAATCACCTTGCAGACCATGTATAAAAACAAATGTAGGAGACCTGAAGGTTTTCAGTTCTTTTGAAGAAAGTTTCTTTGTCTGTTGGAAAGTTGCCTGCAGAAATACACAACAAAATCTCATCTAGTAATTGTTTTCTCTCTAAACCATTTGCTTACACATATAGGCATTAAAAACATGATGACTATCTACTGCATAAATAAGTCTGTAATTCAGAGATTTCAGATATTTTTCAAAAAGCCTAATTAATTTGTATTAAAACTGCTGTCTCTCCCACCCAATCTACTCCACATACAATTGTGTGTGTATACATTTATGCTACATTTTACAAATCGACTTAGTACACAATAGCTGCATATTCATTCTAAAGAGTTTACTGTGTTGCCTCATAATAAACATTTTCTATCAAATGTTATCTTTTTATGAAAATTTGCTATTACATATGACTTAGATATAAAATAGAATTATTTAAGATAAATTTCTAATATTAATTTTATTATGACAAAAAGTCTGTCAACTGTTTTCAGACCATTCTGAAAACAAAGTATCTGATACGATTTGGCTCTGGGTCCCCACTCAAATCTCATCTTGTAGCTCCCATAATTCCTACGTTGTGTGGGAGGGACCCAGTGGGAGATGATTGATTCATGGGGGTGGGTCTTTACTGTGCCGTTCTCGTGATAGTGAATGGGTTTCACAAGATCTGATGGTTTTGAAAATGGAAGCTTCTCTGCACAAGCTCTGTCTTTGCCTGCTGCCATCCATATAAGGTGTGACTTGCTCCTCCTTGCCTTCCACCATGACTGCAAGGCCTCCCCAGCCACGTGGAACTGTAAGTCCATTAAACCTCTTTCTTTTGTAAATTGCCCAGTCTCGGGTATGTATTTATCAGCAGAATGAAAATGCACTAATACAGTAAATTGGTACCAATAGAGTGGGGTGCTGCTGAAAAAATACCCGAAAATGTTGAAGCAACTTTGGAACTGTGTAACAGGTAGAGGTTGGAACAGTTTGGAGGGCTCAGGAGGACAGGAAAATGTGGGAAAGTTTGGAACTTCCTAGAGACTTGTTGAATGGCTTTGACAAAAATGCTGATAGTGATATGAACAATAAGGTTCAGGCTGAGGTGGTCTCAGATGGAGATGAGGAACTTGTTGGGAACTGGAACAAAGGTGACTCTTGTTATGTTTTAGCAAAGACACTAGTGGCATTTTGCCCCTCACCTAGAGATTTGTGGAACTTTGAACTTGAGAGAGATGATTTAGGGTACCTGGCAGAAGAAATTTCTAAGCAGTAAAACATTCAAGAGTTGATTTGAGGGCCATGCACAGTGGCTCATGCCTGTAATCTCAGCACTTTGGGAGGCTGAAGTGGGTGGATTATTTGAGATCAAGAGTTCAAGAACAGCCTGGCCAACATGGTGAAATCCCATCTCTACTAAAAGTACATAAAAAAAATTAGCTCAGCCTGCTGGCACATGCCTGTATTCCCAGCTACTTGGGAGGCTGAGGCAGAAGAATTGCTTGAGCCTGAGAGGCAGAGGTTGCAGTGAGCTGAGATTGCACCACTGCACTCCAGCCTGGGTGACAGAATGAGGCTCTACCTCAAAAAAAAATAATAATAATAATAAAAATAAGAGGTGATTTGAGTGTTGTTAAAGACATTCAGTTTTATAAGGGAAGCAGAGCATAAAAGTTTGGAAAATTTGTAGCCTGACAATGCGATAGAAAAGAAAATCCCATTTTCCATCCCGGATCACTTGAGGTTAGGAGTTCAGGACCAGCATAGTGGCTCATGCCTGTAATCTCAGCACTTTAGGAGGCTGAGGTGGGTTAATACAAAAATTAGTTGGGTGTGATGGTGCGGGCATGTAATCCCAGCTGCTTGGGAGGCTGAGGCAGGAGAATTGTTTCAACCAGGGAGGCAGAGGTTGCGGTGAGCTGAGATCGCACCATTGCACTCCAGCCAGGGTGACAAAGCAAGACTCCATCTCAAAAAAAACAAAAACAGAAACAAAAAAACAGGAGTCACTCTTTTTTGCCTGCCACCATCCACGTAAGATGTGACTTGCTCCTTCTTGTCTTCTGCCATGACTGTGAGGCCTCCCCAGCCATGTGGAACTGTAAGTCTGATTAAACCTCTTTCTTTTGTAAATCAGGTATGTCTTTATCAGCAGCATGAAAACAGATGAATACAGTAAATTGGTACCAGTAGAGTGGGGTGCTGCTGAAAATATACCCAAAAATATGGAAGCGACTTTGGAACTGGGTAACAGGCAGAGGTTGGAACAACTTGGAGGCTCAGAAGGAAACAGAAAAATGTGGGAAGGTTTGGAACTTCCTAGAGACTTGTTGAATGGCTTTGCCCAAAATGCTGATAGTGATATGGACAATAAAGTCCAGGCTGAAGTGGTCTCAAATGGAGATGAGGAACTTGTTGGGAACTGGAGTAAAGGTGACTCTTGCTATGTTACAGTAAAGAGACTGGTGGCATTTTGCCCCTGCCCTAGAGATCTGTGGAACTTTAAACTATAGATAGACGATTTAGGGTATCCGGCAGAAGAAATTTCTAAGCAGTAAAGTACTCAAGAAGTGACTTGGGTGCAATTAAAGGCATTCAACTTTATAAGGAAAGCAGAGAATAAAAGTTTGGAAAACTTGCAGCCAAACAATGCGATAGAAAAGAAAATCCCATTTTCTGATGAGAAATTCAAGCCAGCTTCAGAAATTTGCATAAGTAACAAGGAGCAGAATGTTAATTACCAAGACAATGGGGGAAAATTTCTCCAGGGCATATTAGAGACCTTTGTGGCAGACCCTCCCATCACAGGCCTGGCGGCCTAGGAGGAAAAAGTGATTTTGTGGACCTGGTCCAGCATTCCCATGCTCTGTGCAGCCTAGGCACTGAGTTCCAGCCACTCCAGCCATGGCTGAAAGGGGAAAATGTAGAGATTGGGCCATGGTTTCAAAGGGTACAAGCCTCAAGCCTTGGCAGCTTCCACATGGTGTTGAGCCTCCAGGTGCACAGAAGTCAAGAATTAGGTATGGGGAACCTCCACCTAGATTTCAGAAGATGTATGGAAATGCCTGAATGCCTAGGCAGAAGTTTGACGTAGGGGTGGGGTCCTCATGAAGGACCTCTGCTAGAGCAGTGCAGAGGGAAATGTGGGGTGAGAGCCACCACATAGAGTCCCTACTGGGCACTGCCTAGTGGAGCTGTGAGAAGAGGGCCACTGTCCTCCAGACCCCAGAATGGTAGATTCACTGACAGCTTGCATCATCCACCTGGAAAAGCCTGTGAAGGCAGCTAGGAGGGAGGCTACACCCTGCAAAGCCACAGGGGTGTAGCTGCCCAAGAATATGGGAACCTACCTTTTGCATCAGTGTGACCTCGATGTGAGAAATAGAGTCAAAGGACATAATTTTGGAGCTTCAAGATTTGACTGCCCTGCTGGATTTTGGACTTGCATGGGGCCTGTAGCTCCTTCTTTTGGCCAATTTCTTCCATTTTGAATGAATATGTTTACCCAATGGCTGTACCCCCATTGTATGTAGGAAGTTACTAACTTGCTTTTGATTTTACAGGCTCATAGGCAGAAGGGACTTGCCTTGTTTCAGTTTTGACTTTGAACTTTTGAGACTTTGGGGGACTGTTGGGAAGGCACAATTGGTTTTAAAATGTGAAGATATGAGATTTGGGAGGAGCCAGGGTGGAATGATATGGTTTGGCTCTGTGTCCCCATTCAAATCTCTTCTTGTAGCTCCCATAATTCCCATGTGTTGTGGGAGGGACCCAGTTGGAGATGATTGAATCATAGGGTTGGTCTTTCCTGTGCTGTTCTTGTGATAGTGAGTGGGTCTCAGGAGATCTGATGGTTTTAAAAATGGGAGTTTCTCTGCACAACCTCTCTCTTTGCCTGCTGCCATCCATGTAAGATGTGACTTGCTCTATCTTGCCTTCCACCATGATTGCAAGGGCTCCCCATCCATGTGGAACTGTAAGTCCAAGAAACCTCTTTCTCTTGTAAATTGCCCAGCCTAGGGTATTATAAGCAGTGTGAAAGTGGTATCTTTATAAGCAGTGTGAAAACGGACTAATACAGTATCTTTTACTTTCAAATATATATTTTAATAGAGGGATAAAATATGTAAAGAAAATATTTTCTTGAGAATTGGTCTGTTTAAGTTAAAACTGCTTCAAACTTCTTACATATTCAGATATTACAAAATTAACTGAATACATTACAGACATAATATGTTTTGTCAGGGTACATGATGTGAGAAATAGAGTATGAACACTTAATAAAGACTTTATCAAAATGTTACCTATATCTATAGACAGATTTTATGATATTGATCACTTGGTCACAAATTGCTAGTTGTATTTCACACATTATAGATTTGGATCTTTTATTAAGTTACTTTTCCTTACTTTTCTTTTATATGAAAATCTTATCAATTACCTTTTCCTCACTATAGAACTTTAATCTGACCCTGCTACATATGACAGGAAAACTATTCTTTAGTTTGTCAATGTGGGGAGGGTGGTAGACTACTGTAAAAAAATAAGTCACATAAAATTAGTTACATAAAATTAAATGTTCCTTTCCCAACTTTCAAATGTATTGTGTAATAAAACCTTCTCCATTTTTCTCTTAAGGTTTACTAGTGTTGGAAATGATAATTAGTAGATGATTTTTTAAATAATACAGAACATATTATGTGATGTGACAAGAATACCTTTTCAATTTTCCCCAGCCTCCTGTGGCATTCTAGCCATCATGACAGATAAACTATATGACCTTTGTAAAACACTTAACAAGCACTCTCCTAACTAAGTATGTCTGCTCCAGTGGCCCTTGGTTTTCTCACATTACTCACTCTTCTTGCCTAAAACATCGGTAATTTGGGCTGGAAAATGAACATTATTTGTTATACCAAGTAGCCAAACACCCTTAAAGGAGTCTAAGAGTTGGAATAGGATGGAAGAGAGACAAAAAGAAGTGGATATGGAGGCTGCCTTATTAAATAGGCTGGTGAAATCAGTATATCAAAGGGATATCTGCATTCCCATGTTTATTGCAGCACTATTCACAATAGCCAATATATGAAATCAACCTGTGTCCATTAACAGATGAATGAGTAATAAAAATATAGTACATATACACAATGGAATATTATTCAGCTGTAAAAATGAATGAAACACTCTTATTTGCAGCAACATAGATGGAACTAAGTGAAATAAGCCAAGCACAGAAAGACAAATACGGCATGTTCTCACTCATATGTGGGAGCTAAAAAAGTGGATTTCATGGAGGTAGAGAGTAGAAGGTTGTTACCAGAAGCTGGGAAAACATGAGGAAAGGAAGAGATAAAAAGAAACTGGCTAATGGGTACAAAAATACAGTTAAATAGAAGACATAAGTTATAGTATTCAATAGTATAGTAGGAAAATTTTAGTTAACGACAATTTATTGTATATTTCTAAATAGCTGGAAGAACATAATTGTAATGTTCCCAACACAAAGAATAGATAAATGTTTGAAGTTACCCCGATTTGATCATTACATGTTGTATACAGTTGTTAAAATATCACATCTACTCCACAAATATGTACATCTATAATATAGCAATAACTATTATTTTTTTAAAAAAGAAGATAGTCTAGGCACAGTGGCTCCCACCTGTAATCTCAGAACTTCGGAAGGCCAAGTCAGGGGAGGATCACTTGAGCCCAGGAGTTCAAGATCAGCCTGGGCAACATAGCAAGGCCCTGTTTCTAAAAAAAATAATAAAAATTTTGACATTTCTCAAAATCCTTATGTTCATCCAGGAAAAGTTTAGACTAAATCATATTTGATAATCAAGCCATAATTTTGTTTAGTTGACAGAGGCTGCTACTGTCAGATAAGGAACTAAATTCAAGTGATTTTTATTTGGCTCCCACAGTGTTTAAAAAAAAATACGCATCTCTAGAATTGGCATATCTTTACATGGTGCATGTAAAATTCTTCAGCACTACCTAATGTTTTATAACCTGCCAGGTTCATTCTTTTTTGTTTTTTTTGTCTAAATCCTGAAAGCATTTGTCTTTCTTGCCTTGATTTACAACTTATGATTTGTGTTATTTTTCTAGCCCCAGAATGTGATACTCCGGAACATAGAGGAAAAGGTATTAAATCTCTCCTCTGTGAGTATGCTTCCTTCAAAGGCCTCCCCCGTTAAGGGCTATTGAAACTTTGAAGTACTGTGGAGCACAATCTGAAAGCTTGTTTATGTTTCTTCTGCAGCTGGCTCACTGATCTCCGTGGACCCAATTTCCACCCTGTAATTAAGCATCTGGATACACTCTGAGTTGCATTACGGGAAATGCTGTTTTGAGAGTATCACATAGTTGAGCAACCACCCTCTGCTTCTCAAAGTGATAAAATGGTGATGAATTGCAAATGCCAGAGTGTTTGATGACCTTTCCAATGATTTTCTTGATTACTGTCCAAACATCCTTGTTACACATATGGCTTCTGTGAATAGTAAACTATTATAGCAATTTAAATTATTTAAATTAGTATGTGCTCCATGTTTGTTTTTTACATTTTTGGTAATTCAACACTATTTTTCAAATAAATTTACAATTGTCTTTTCAGAATCTATAGTTTAAACATTTTGTAAACACTTCACAGGTGACAAAATTCCACCTCCATTCTCTTACGGTCCCAGTTGCAACCAAGAATTAAATTGATATAACATATTTTAACAGGAAAAAAACATACAAACTTATTTAATACAAGTTTTATGCAGCACCGGAGCCCTCATTAAGAGATGACAACCCAACAAAACAATCAAACACTTACAAAAAGAATTGGACAAATAATAGTAAGTTGTGAAATGTGACAAAGCAAAGGAGCTTGGTCTAGAGTAGTTAATTGGAAAGATAACTGACTAGAAAGATAAGCATTAGTTCAACAGGTTTGTTTGTACAAAATTCTTTCAGTCTCAACTTCTCATTCTTGATAAGAATGTTATTCCTTGTGGTATTGGAGTACATCTCCCACGTGGGAATTTCATGTCTTATATCTACCCAAAGGAAAATAAATCCCTTTATCAAAAAGATACCTGTAACCATATATTAATCACAGCATTATTTACAATGGCAAAGCCATGGAATCAACATAAGTGTCCATCACAGAAGATTTGATTAAAATTTTGTTATATGTACACAAAGGAACACTATTGAGCCACAAAAAATGAAAAGATGTTATTTGCACTAAGATGAATGGAACTGGAGGCCATTATCTTAAGTGAAATAAGCCAGGCACAGAAAATCAAATATTGCATGTTATCACTTGTAAGTGGATGCTAAAAAATGTGTACACAAGGACATACAGAATGGAATGACAGACAACACAGACTCAGAAAGGTGAGTGGGTAGGCAAGGGGTGGATGATGAAAAGTGACTTAATGGGTACAATGCACATTATTCAGTTGATGTATATGTACCTTAAAGCCCTTACTTGACAACTAAACAATATATCCATGTAACTAAGTTGCACTTCTAGCTCATAAATTTATACAAATAAAAATAATAAAGAAACAAAACAAAACAAGAAACAGAATACAGGTCTGAGTGATCTTCTTGCCACTGCTGTGTTCTTTTAAGTTTCTTTGATTCAAAATAATATGACAGAGCCCCATATTTTGGGGTGCCATATTCTTAACTCCTTCAACAAAAACCTTTATAAATAGTGAAATTATCATAATTAAATTTGCTACTAATTATGATGGTGTCTACAATGGTGATTGTAGCAGAATGGGAAATATACTTCTATCACAACCTGACCAAGTAGCAGCTCTCTGTTATTTACAATTTGAACATGTCCAAACCATTACCATTTCTAGTCTGGTTTGTACTCTTGTAACGATGTATTAGCACCTTCTTAAATACCATATTAAGTATGAAATCTCACTCTTGTTTAACAACATTATGTCAGGTTGTTCCAGAATTAGTATTTCTCAAGTTGTGTTCTATGGAATATTAGTTTCATTTGAATATGTTAAATGAAAATAGATGCTATAGAGAAAGCTTGCTTAGATGATCCAAGAAAAGATGAGAAATGTTACATATTTTGTAGGCTTGAGAAGTACTGTAGTAAATATATATTTTTATTAACAGAATTTTGCAATTCAGAGCCAAAAGTTTTAATTTTCAATAACATATTTATATCCACATTGCTTTGATAAACATACTGTTCAATGGCATGGTTTCTTACCCATACATAGAATATTTATGCTTTGAATAACTCAAAAATATATTAGAATTTGTCTAGTCCAACTTCTTCATTTTACAGATAAGAAAACTTATGCCAAAAGCAATTCCTTTTTTAATTATTTAGTTTGTGTAGCCTTTAAGAAAGGGACTATATTTAGCTATTTACAAACTTTGTGTCAGATGGCACATATAAAAATTGCATGTGAAAGATCTTAATATTATTACTATAACCCCATTGTGGAAAAAAAATTCAGGCTTAAAGCGGTTGAGTTACACATTTATAGCCACAAAACTATTACTTAACAAAGCCAGGTTCAAACTAAGGCTGTCTAACTTAATGACATTTTTTTAAACAACTTTATGAAGATATAATTCAAATGTCATACGTTTTACCCAAAGTGTAAAATTCAGTGATATTTAATATACTCACAGTGTGCAATCCATCGCCACTATCAAATTTAGAGTAGCTCACACTCTCAAAGAAACCACAAATGCCCACTGACTTTTTGCATTTCTCTAGTGTTTAAAGTTTCTTTTAATTTAATTTTTTAAGTATTAAACTTTTTCTGGTAAATAATATATATACTTATGAGGTATATGGGATATTTTGATACAGGCATACAATGTGTAATAATTGCATCAGGGTAACTGATGTATCCATCTCCTCAAGCATTTATCACTTGTGTTACAAACAATCCAATTATATTATTTCAGTTATTTTTAAATGTACCGTTAAATTATTATTGACTATAGTAGTCTTGTTGTGTTATCAAATGCTAGATCTTCTTCCTATTTTTTGTACCCATTAACACTTTTCCTTCTCTGCCCCTGTACCCTCCACTATCCCTTCACAGACTCTGGTGACCATCATTCTACTCTCTGTCTCAATGACTTCAATTGTTTTAATTTTTAGCTCCTACAAATAAATGAGAACATGCAAAGTTTATCTTTCTGAACCTGGCTTATTTCATTTAACATAAAGATATCTGGTTCCTTGCGTGTTGTTGCAAATCACAGGATCTCATTGTTTATAGCTGAATATTACTCTATTATGTCTATGTACCACATTTTATTTATTCATTCATCTGTTGATGGACACTTAGATTGCTTCCAAATCTTGACTATTGTGAAAAGTGCTGCAATATACATGGGATTGCAGATACCTCCCCAATACACTAATTTTCTTTCTTTCAAAGTTTTAAGCAGATTGCCTTACTGATGATTTTGTTTATTTTCAGCTTCTGAATTTTACTTTCTTTTTAAAAATTTTTATTTATTTATTTAATTTTTAACTTATAGTTTCAAGGGTATATTTGAAGGTTTGTTATATAGATAAATTGCATGTCACACGTGTTTCGTGTACAGATTATTTTGTCACCCAGGTAATAAGCATACCACCCCATAGGTACTTTTTCAATCCTCACCTCCCTCCCACACTCCACCCTCCAGTAGCCCCTGGTGTCTATTGTTCCCTTCTTTGTGTCCACGTGTACTCAATGTTTAGCTCCCACTTACACGTGAGAACATGTAGCATTTTGTTCTCTATTCCTGTTTAGTTTGCTTAGGATAATGGACTTCAGCTCCATTCAGATTGCTGCAAAATACATGATTTTATTCTTTTTATGGCTGTGTAGTATTCCATAGTGTATGTGTAACACTTTTTTTTTAAATCCAATTCACCCTTAATGGGCAGTTAGGTTGATTTCAGTCTTTGCATTGTGAATAGTGATGCAATGAACCTACAGGTGCATGTGTCTTTATGGTAGAAAGATTTATATTTTTCTGGGAAATATTTATATTCATAGGATTGCTATGTTAAATGGTAGTTCCATTTTTAGTTATTTGAGAAACCTCCAAACTGCTTTCCGCAATGGCTGAACTAATTTATATTCCCACCAGTAGTGTATAAGCATTCCCTTTTCTCCACAACCTCACTAGCATCTGTTATTTTTTGACTTTTTAATCATAGCTATTCTGACATGCATGAGATAGTATCGCATTGTGGTTTTGATTTGCATTTCTCTAATTAGTGATGTTGAGCATTTCTTCATATGCTTCTTGGCCACATTTATGTCTTGTTTTGAAAAGTGTCTGCTCACAAACAAACAAAAATTCCATGCTCATTTATAAGAAGAATGAATATCATAAAAATGGTCATACTGCTCAAAGCAATTTATAGATTCAATGCTATTGCCATTAAGCTGCCATTGACATTCTTCACTGAACTAAAAAAAAAAAAAAAAACTACTATAAAATACATATGGAACCAAAAAAGAGCCTGAATAGCCAAGACAATCCCAAGCCAAAAGAACAAGGCTGGAGGATTCAAGCTACCCAACTTCAAACTTTACTACAAGGCTGCAGTAACAAAAACAGCATGGTACTGGTACAAGAACAGACACAAAGACCATTAGAACAGAACAGAGAACCCAGATATAAGACCACATACCTATAACCATCTGATCTTTCACAAACCTGACAAAAGCACTAGGGAAAAGATTCCCTACTTAATAAATAATGCTGGGAGAACTGGCTAGCCATATGCAGAAAATTGAAACTGGACCCGTTCATTATACCATGTATAGAAATTAACTCAAGATGGATTAGAATTAAATGTAAAGCCCAAGACTATAAAAACACTAAAAGAAAATCTAGGCAATAACATTCACAACATAGGCACGTGCAAAGATTTCATGACAAGGATGACAAAAGCAATTCCAACAAAAGCAAAAATTGAGAAGTGGTATCTAAATAAAGAGCTTCTGCATAGCAAAAGAAACTATCATCAGGGTGAACAGACAACCTACAGAATGGGAGAAAATTTTTGCAATCTATTTGTCTGACACAGGTCTAATATCCATCATTTACAAGGAACTTAAACAAACTGAAAAGAAAAAAACCCATTAAAAAGTGGGCAAAGGACATAAACAGACACTTCTCAAAAGAAGACATGCATGCACCCAGCAAATATATAAAAAAGTTCAACGTCAGTGATCGTTAGAGAAATGCAAATCTAAACCAAAGTGAGATACCACTTCACATCAGTCATAATGGCTATTATTAAAAAGTCAAAAAACAACAGATGCTGGTGAAGTTGTGGAGAAAAAGGAATGTTTGTACACTGTTGGTGGGAGTGAAGATTAGTTCAATCATTGTGGAAGACAGTGTGGCTATTCCTCAAAGACCTAGAAGCAGAAATGCCATTTGACTTGGCAATCCCATAACTGGGTATATACCCAAAGGAATATAAATCATTCTGTTATAAAGATAGAAGCATGTGTATGTTCACTGCAGCACTGTTAACAATAGCAAACGCATGGAATCATCCCAAATGCCCATCAATGACAGATGGAATAAAGAAAATGTCGCAAATATACACCATGGAATACTATCAGCCAGAAAAAGGAACATGATTATGTCCTTTGTGGAGACATGAATGGAACTAGAAGTCATTATCCTTAGCAAACTAATGCAAAAACAGAAAACAAAGTACCAAATTTTCTCACTTATAAGTGGGAGCTAAATGATGAGAGCATATGGACACATCATGGGGGTACAACAGACACGGGGCCTTGCCAGAAGGTGGGGGGTGTGTGGGAGAAAGGAGAGCATCTGGAAGAATAGCTAATGGATGCTGAGCTTAATACCTAGGTGATGGGATGATCTGTGCAGCAAACCTCCATGGCACACGTTTACCTATCTAACAAACCTGCACATCCTGCACAAGTAACCTTGAACTTAAAAATATAAGTTGGAAATCAAAAAAAAAATCATGTTTTGCACTGTAACTATATACAATTTTTATTTGTATATTTGTATAATTTAATTATACCTCAATAAATCTGAAAAAATAAAAAAGTGTCTTCGCATGTCCTTTCCCTGGTATTTTATGGGGCTGTTTGTTTTTCACTTGTTAATTTAAATTCCTTGTCGATTCTGGACATTGAACCTCTGACAGATGCTTCGTTTACCAATGTTTTACCCTATCCTCTAAGTTGTCTCTTTACTCTGTTGACAATTATTTTGCTGTGCAGAAGCTCTTTTATTTAATTAGATCCCATTTGTCAATTATTGTTTTTGTTGCATTTGCTTTTGGATTCGTCATCATGAAATCTTTCCCAGGGCCTATGCTTAGAATGGTATTTCTTAAGTTATCTTCTAGGGTTTTTATGGTTTTAGGTGCTACATTTAAGTCTTTATTCCACTTCGAGTTGATTCTTTATATGGTGTTAGGAAGGGGTCCAGTTTCAATCTTCTGCATATGGCTAGCCAGTTATCTAGTACCACGTATTAACTAGTGAGTCCTTTTCCTGATTGCTTATTTTTGTTGGCTTTGTTGAACATCAGATAGTTGTAGGTGTAAGGCTTTATTTCTAGGTTCTCTATTCTGTTCTACTGGTGTATGCATCTTTTACTGTACCAGGGTCATGCTGTTTTGGTTATTGTAGCCTTATGGTATAATTTGAAGTTGGGTAATATGATGCCTCCAGCTTTGTTCTTTTTGCATAGGATTGCCTTGGCTATTCAGGCTCTTTTTTGGTTCCATATGAGTTTTAAAATGTTTTTTTTTTCTGATTCTGTAAAGTAAGTAATTGTTAGTTTGATAGGAATAGCATTGAATCTGTAAATTGCTTTGGGCAGTATGACTATTTTAACAATGTTAATTCTTCCTATCCATGAACATGGGATGTTTTTCCATTTGTTTGTGTCCTATCTGATTCCTTTAAGCAGTGTTTCATAATTCTCATTATAGTGATATTTTACTTTCCTGGTTTGCTATATTGCTTGGTATTTTACTCTTTTTGTGTCTATTGTGAATGGAATTGTGTTGATTTGGCTTTCAGCTTGGATGTTGCTGTTGTACAGGCATGGTACTGATTACTGTACATTCATTCTGTATCCCAAAACTTTTCTGAAGTTGTTTATCAGATCAAGGCACTTTTGCCCAGAAACTATGAGGTTTCTAGGTACACAAGTATATTGTCTGTGAACAAGAATTGTTTGGCTTCCTGTCGTCATATTTGAATGCCTTTTATTTATTTATGTTGCCTCATTGCTGTGGCTAAGACCTCCAGTACTATGTTGAATAGGAGGGGTGAGAGATGGCATCCTTGTCTTTCTGTTTCTCAAGGGTAATTCTTCCAGCATGTGCCCATTCAGTGTAATGTTGGCTGTAGTTTTTTTTATAGATGGCTCTTATTATTTTTAAGTATATTTCTTTAATGTCTAGTTTGTTGATGGTTTTTAACATGAAGGAATGTTGAGTTTTATCAAAAGCCTTTTCTGCATATATTGATATGATTATGTGGTTTTTGTTCTTAGCTCTGTTAATGTGATGAATCACATTTATTTATTTGAATATGTTGAAACAATCTTGCATACTTGGGATAAAGCCTACTTGACCGGAATGGATTAGCTTTTTGATGTTCTGCTGGATTAGGTTTGCTACCATTTTGTTGAAGATATTTGCATCCACATTCATCAAGCATATTGATCTAAATTTTTTTTTAATTGTGTGTCTACTAGGTTTTGGTATCAGGATGATGCTGGCCTCATAGAATGAGTTAGGAAGGAGTCCCTCCTTCTCAATTTTCTGAAATAGTTTTAGCAGAAATGGTACCAGCTCTTCTTTGTATATCTGATAGAATTTGGCTGTGAACCCATCTGGTCCCGGGCTGTTTCTGGATATTCTGCTTTTTATTACTGAATCAGTTTTAGAACTCATTATTGACCTGTTCAGGAATTGAATATCTTCCTGGTTCTATCTTGTGAGGTTGTACATTTCCAGGAATTTATCCATTTTTTTCCAGATTTTCTAGTTTCCATGCATAGAGATGTTCATAGTACTCTCTGATTTTTTTTTTTTTCTGTGTGGTCAGTGGTAATGTCCCCTTTTGTCATTTCTGAATTTGTTTATTTAGATCATTTTGTTCTTGTTAGTCTAGATAGCAGTCTATTTTATTTATTATATAAAACTATCTTGCATTCATTTATGTTTTGTGTGGTTTTCACCTCTTAATTTCTTTCAGTTCAGCTCTGATTACGGTTATTTATTTTATTCTGCTAGCTTTGGGGTTGGTTTGCTGTTGTTTCTCTGGTTCCTTTAGGTGTAATGTTAGGTTGTTAATTCGGTATATTTTTAACTTTTTTATGTGAACATTTAGTGCTAGAAACTTCCCTCTTACTGTTTTAACTGTGTCTCAGAGATCCTGTTACGTTGTATCTTTGTTCTTATATGTTTAAAATAATTTCTTTATTTCTGCCTTAATTTTATTGTGTACCCAAAAGTCATTCAGGAGTAGGTTGTTTAATTTCCATAAAATTGTGCTGTTTTGGGTGATTTTCTTAGTATTGTTTTCTATTTTTATTGTGCTATGGTCCAAGAGTACAGTTGGTATGACTTCAGTTATTATGAATTTGCTGTGGATTGTTTTATGGCAGATTGTGTGGATTATTTTAGAGTATGTGCCATGTGCAGCTGAGAATAATGTAAATTCTGTTCTTGTGGTGACAAAATCCCTTAGCATTTGCTTGTCTGAAAAGGACCTTATTTCTCCTTTGGTTATGAAGCTTAGTTTTGCTGGATATGAAATTGTGAGAATTTTCTTTTTAGGAATGCCGAATATAGGTACACGAGCTCTTCTGGCTTCTAGAGTTTCTGTGGAAAGGCCTGCTGTTAGTCTAATGCAGTTCCCTTGGTAGGTGACTTTCCCCTTCTCTAGCTGACTTTAACATTTTTTCTTTCATTTCAACCTTGGAAAATCTCATGACTATGAGTATTGCATACAGTCTTCTTGAGTAGTATCTCACAGGGATTTTCTGCTTTTCCTGTAGTTGAATGTTGGCATCTCTAATGAGGTTGGAGAAAATATCATGCACAATATCCTCAAATATGTCTTCCAAGTTGCTTGTTTCCTCTCCTCTTTCAGGGACACCTATGAGTTTGTAGATTTGGTCTCCTTTCGTAATCTCATGTTTCTGGAAGGCTTTGTTATTCTTCTATATTGTTTTTTCTTTATTTTTGTCTGAGTGAGTTACTTTGGAGATCTGGTTTTTAAGCTCTGAGATTTTTTTTCCTCAGCTTCATCAATTCTTCTGTTAGCATTTGAGATTTTATTTTGAAACTCTTTAACTGAGTTTTTCAGCTCTGTCATATCAGTTTGGTTCCTACAAAATGGCAATTTCCTTTTTCATCTCTTGTATTATTTAATTATATTCCTTAGAATCCTTGGATTGGTTTTCAACTTTTTCCTGTGTCTCAATGATCTTCATTCCCATCCATTTTCTGATTTCTATTTCTGTCATTTCAGCCATTTTAGTCTGGTTAAGAACCATTGCTGGGAAACTAGTGTGATCATTTGGAGGTAAGAAGACTCTGGCTTTTTGAGTTGCCAGAGTTCTTGCACTGGTTCTTTCTCATCTGTGTGGGTGATGGTCCTTCAATCTTTGAATGTACTGTCCTTCCAATTAGTTTATTTGCTTTTATCTTCTTTGTTGCCCCTGGGGGTTTGATTGCGGAATAAAATGAGTTCAGTTGAATGGTTTTGTTTCTGGAAGATTTTAGGTGACCGAAGCTCAGCTCAGCACTCCTGGGCTACCACTGGAAGACTTGTATGGGACAACTCACTAGCTATGTTCTCCAGCACTTCAAGATTAGGAACCTACTGTACTGGAAGTGCCAAAGAGTTCCTGGACTTCTGGCTAAAATACTCCAATAAGTGGTGCCATAAAAAGTGCTTCACTGGGGCAGTGGCAGTGGGGTCCAGGCTCATTTGCCCATGACAGCAGCAGTGGCAGTGCAGTGGCTTGCATGCTTGTTGAATGGGGCAGGGCTCTGGCATGCATGGGGATTCCATCCTCCATGTCTGTGTTCATAGCAGCAGCAGTGGCAGTGTGAACCAGAGTGAAGAGGATGGGGCAACTGGTGTCCATGTGCATGTTCACTCTGGCAGCCATGTTGGTGCAGATGCAGGACACTGGCAGAGTTCAAGGCTGCCAGCCTCCATGCACATGTTCACACCAGCAGCGGCAGTGGCAGCATGGGGTGGAGATGGGGGATGAGGGCATTTGCCTCTGTGCCTGAGTTTGCTCCTCCAATGGCAGAAGGGTTGCGGGGGTGTGCTCATTTTGGCAGCAGTGGCATAATGGGGTGCATGCACACACGTACACCAGTGGGGAGAGGAGGCAAGGTCCACCCATGAGTGCACTGGAGACAGCAAAGTGATGGGGCAGTAGCTATCAGCAAATGCATGCTCGCAAATTTGCTTGGGGGAGGATCTTACGGGAGGCGGTGCAGGTGGGGATGCTGTGTGTTGGTTAGGGCTGCTCTGCTGGAGCTCTGCAACAGTCAGGTGGAGTTTTCCAGTGCAAGAGCTATAATGCAGGCTCCCGGTAGGCACCCTGGTTGGGCATCCAAGGCTGTACTGCAAGCAAGTGCAGCCTGGCTGGTGCCCTGGGAGAAGCCAGAAGACAAGGGATTGATTAGATCTGACTGGGCCCATTTCACAGGCGAGACTCCCCCTGCTCTGATCAGGTCCAATAGTTCCCCTATGACTAAATTCTCCTAGGGAAGCTTGTTGAGCATTGAGGGGATGGGCATCCCTGGCCTTGCTCCATTGCAGACATTCCTGTACCAAACTGGGCTCTGAATAGCCTGGAATCCTGCCCCTGACACCTTTCTAAGAAGCTCTCCCTGGCATCTCAAGTGTCTGTGGGGGTTGTGGGTCTCCTGCTGCCAGGATTCCAGAGGTCCCTGGTGAGAGGGGGTTACTTCACACCTCCTCAACTCATCCCTTCCCCAGGATTTGCCGGGGGCCAGTAATGAGTCCCAGTGTATGGAAGCCTCCTTTAGGGGTCCCAGCTACCTCCCTCTTCATCCCAGCAAGTGGGCCCTGTTTCCATCCACTCTCAGTGCCTTCTCTCTGAAGATCTGCTCATAGTGTACCAGTCTTTGGGATGTCCCAGTCCCTCAGTGACAGATGTTCCTCCTGGCTGTGTGTAGTCTGCCATCTTGGCCCCTACAAAAAACTGAACTTCACTTTCCTATTTTACATGTTTATCACAGTCTTGACTTTTGTTCATTCTCAATGATAAAAAAATTAAAACGAAATGTTATGCTACTGAAAATTTGTCCAATTTGAATATATTTCATCAAAAGTATAAAAAAAGTACATATATATTTTAATAGCTTTTAATATTAAAACTTTAATATTTATAAAGAATATTTGTGTATTTTCAATATTTAGATTTTACAGAAGAAAACATATGTAACTTCTAGGCTAGTATTTACAGAAGGAAATGTATTACTAAGAGCAATTCTTAAGATGTAAATAGAATGGATTCTCTTAAAGTGTACTTTAATGTGACATAAAGATTGATATTAAGAGTTTTAAAATGCGTAATACATAATTTCAAAAATTAAAAAGCAGACATGGTAACGTCATTATTTACCAATGCCAAGGGCCTTCACAGCAATTTCATTTAGTGCTCAAATCTTTGTAATACAGTAATTATTATCCTCACAGATGAACAGATTCAGGTTCAGAGAGTTTAAGTGACCTGAACTAAGACAAATACTTTTATTCCAAAGTTTTAACTTCTATTTTAAATATATCTTCATGTTCCATTTTATTAGTCTATTGTTTCTCTTCTATTCTTGTTATATTCTCAGCCATTCAGAGTTATAGTTTAATCTTTCCCATTAATTTACGCCTTTAAACTAGATAATGAATCATTCCACTTCTTTATCAGGGTTCAACAGAATGTACCACACATAATACTATTTATAATATTATTTCTAATCACATACTGCGTGTGGAGAATATATTACTCATTGTTTTGTGGCCCCATAGGTTAGATATTCTGCTATAACTTTTATTTATTATTCAATCAGGAGAAAAGCAGCTAAATTTTATATACAATTCAGTGATCCTCAAACATATTGTGAAAGCTAAAATGTAAAAGGACTAATATTAAATTCCTGATAACTAAAAAATCAGCATAGTATATATAAGCCTTTGGGGACATGAAATAAAGGAACATGTTTAAAACGTGAGGAAATGAGTTGTATCCTACACATAATAATGACAGAGGTTTTTCCCATTGCATTTGAATATAAAGGTTTGCTTTCTAGATGTTTTAAAGGTTTTCAGCAGCTCATTTAACTATCCTTGAGAGACAAACTAATGCTCTAACTCTATCAGACTTTTTTAGCCTCATACTGACTCTGCTTCTTAATGTGTGGTCTTAAATTTGCTAAATCAATTGATTAAGCTTAAAGAAAATTTAATTTAAAATGAGGGAGAGCAAAATTAGCACTGGTGAAGGCCTGCTGACTTACTGGCCCAGCATATTTAAGTACACTGACTTATGTGGTTAGAGTTGAATATTGGCCAAATGAAGTTTTATGAACTCAAGAAAATTACAGCCACTAACTCTAAGGGTATTATATTCACTAAATGTAGTCTTTAGATCAATGGCACCCTTGTGTCCAGTAAATGGACCAGACTGTTTAAATATTGGCTCATATCCTTTATCATGTGTGACTGGATTATGAAACTAATTTCCTCAGTAAAGACTTCTCAATATAAATTTAAGTAATTTCTGACTAGGTTTAATATCCACAATATATATTTTTTAAATCCTTGAGTGTATATAGTACCGTTCAAACGAAAAGTTTTCGGTACTTCTCAGGCATTATTTCATTTACTTTCACAATTTCCCACTGGACAATGTGTTTTGCACTGAATTGAGGATGGGGCACCAATATTTGCTGTTTCTGCTCCTGCTTCTCTACATCTAAGTCTATTAGAGAGTAAGATCACATGAAATTGGGAAGTAAGATTGTTTTGTTAATTAATTTCTGCTTACATTGCATGGATTTATACTGATAAGAAATATGTATGAGACAAGGTGCTGTGTATTGTGGTAGATATCAAAGTTGGACACAAATAAAAACATAAAAAACGCAGATAGTGTGTTACAGAATATGCTATGGCAAAATTCACAAGTGAACTCAGGTAGCGAGTCAGCAAGCTCTAACAGAAGACATTGGTTTGAACCGGGAATCTACAATTAGTAACTGTGTGAACTTGAGTGCATTTTTAACCATTTACTTCCTTGATTCTTAGACTTAAGTTATGTAGAAGAGGAAAAACAATGCCTCGCTAAGTGACTTGCATGAATATTGAAATAGATAGTATGTGGAAATATTTAACACAGTGCCTGGCACAGAGAAGGGACCTAATAAATGTAGATGAATCTGACGTTTTCTAGTAGATGAAATCAGCATATAGATAGATATAGCTTTAAGGATAAGTAAAATTTCACCAGAGGGAGTTGAGAGAATATTATTCTAGGGAGAAAGAAAAGCATGTGGAGTAGTGTAGAAGTATAAAAACACAGAACACTTCTAGGAATTTTTTTTTTTTTCAATAGAGGCTAGAGAGAGATAAGTTGGATAGTTAGGCTGAGGTTAGATCACGGGATTTGGACCTTCCATATTACTTAGAGGAAAGCTACTGAACATATTTGAACATGGAAGAATTATAATGAGAATGGGATTGGTTGATAGGAAGGGTTGAACAAAGCAAGACTGATTATTAAGCTAATATAATAAGTAGTTCAATTATGAATGCTTAAGGCCTGAAAGAGGAAGTTGGAAATGTAAGAATAAATATTGATCAAAATTAAAGATAACAATTACTGGTAATTTTTACATAGATTTAAGGCCCAGTCCCTTACCTTAAAAAAGCACACTAGGATCTGGCCCTGCCTATCTTACTAGGCGTATTTATCCCCTGCCCCTCCACTGTTCCTCTCTGCAGGTTTCAAGCAGAACAATTTCTTTCCAGCAGCTTAAATATGCTGTCCTCATCCACGTGGTCTCCTTTCATTCTGAAATAGTTTTCATCTCCTTACCCAACTGAAAGTTTTTATTTGTTTCTCAAATTTTAGTTCGGGCATTGGATTCTTTTAAGGTCTTCCCTACCATCCCAGATTAGAATTTGATTTTCCTCTTTGCTACATCTTGCCCTTCTCTATAACTTTTTAATACTTATTATATTGCATTTGCCATATTCTGTGTGATATTGCCATTGCCACACTCCTTTTAAATTTTTTTTCAAACACCTGGTTTCAAGCAATTCTCCTGCCTTGGCTTTCCAAAGCGCTTGGATTACAGGCATGAGTCACTGCACCCAACCCTCCTTTTTACTTTTTAAATCATGATAACTAATAATAATGATTACTAATCATTTACTATGTACCAATACATTGTTATAAGCACTTTAAATGTATTGGTTCATATAATCTTAATCCTAAACAACCCTTTGATTTCATAATAATTGTTATCTCCATTTAATAGTTAATTAAAAAAAAAACCTCAAGCAAAGGGAGAATAAGTATCTAGCCCAATGTTTTACATATAGAAAACAGTGGAGCCCAAGTATTCAAGCTCAAATACTCTGGATCCAGAGCCTTTTCTGTTAACTATAAAATGCTGCCTCTCTTAGATAAAACTATAAAACATAAAGGATATAAAGAAATTGACCAAAGTCATGCCTTGGTTAATAATTATAGTTAGAAAGCAGAAGAATTAGGCATCAAATGTGAAACAATTGTGAAGTGGAAGGAGAACATGGCTAGTGCAGTGTTGTGCAACCAAATGAAATGTTTTTAAAATAATCAGTATTTGAAAAAGACTAACAGGACAAGAGAAATAGTTGTTAATAGATAAAGTAGATCCTGAAAGAAGTGAAGACAGAGAGGAACAAGAGAACATAATTAATTCTCACAATGTATAAGTCCAATTATTCCTCAGAAACAGAAAAGAAAAGAGCATATTGAAGGAAAATGCATGGAAATGTTGTAATGGAAGTGTGCCCAAAACACTGATGTGCAAACATATTATTGTTTCAGAAAAGTTGAAGAAGGATTATGTGCTAAAAGTGATGAAGACAGGTCAGATTGGGAATTTAAGAAAAAAAGAAATGGCTTGGGAAAATTTCCGTGGGGAATGAAAACAAAGGCCATAAGGCTTGTAATGTGCTGTACGAATCATGAAAAATTGACTAAAAATCTTACAGATAGATAGAAAGATGGTGAATAGTATGAAAATCTAAGTTCTAGCTCTGTAGTGTCAGAAGTGAAAGATAAAGTAATAGGAAATAATACTTTTTAAAATTAATTAAATGGTAAAAATGTTATCGGGTTTATGAGCATGACCTGTTTTAGTCCCCAGAGATAATAACATAGGAAGAAGTAAAAGGAAGATTCTGAAGAGTCCTTGAGTCATTGAAAAAAATGAAAGACTACACAGGAGATTGTTGAGTTATGGTAGCAAAATAAAGAGAAGATACCATAGCTGTATTGTTTAGACTCTAAAGTACTTAGGCTCTGGGCACAAGGTGCATAAGGTGAACCTGAAATACCTTGTCATTCCAGAAATCATAGAAATGATCAAAAACTACTAGAGTTATATTAGAAAAGGTCTTAAGAGCCAACCTGGATAAATTCCCACTGGAAAAATATGAGAAGTTCTCTTAACTACCAAAAAGAGTAATAATTGAAAGCGATTTAAGTATGTCAAATATTGTCAAGACTATTAGTTCATAATATATTTTTTAAAAGCCTCATTGTTCACTTGTGAAGGATTTTAGGCACCACCTCATTATTTTGAAATCCTGCACTGCAATTAAGACAAAGAAGCAATTACTCTGCTTTTTCTATGCACTCAGTGCCTCAGTATTACCAAGTACTAGTTGAGAAAAAGTGAGTGTTTTGTTCACATAATGTCCCTGTTGTGTAGCTGTGCTTGCCCTATACAAATAGCTAAATATAATGTCTCTGTGTGTGTGTGTGTATGTGTGTGTGTGTGTGTGTGAAATAGTCAAGCTTGTCAGCCAAATCTAATAATGACAAGAAATACAAGGCAGAGAGAAACACATGAGGCAGTATTATAAGGAGGCTAACTTTAGACATTGGAAAACCCAATAAAAACAACTGGGTTACTTCAGTAAAACAAGAGAAAAAGAGAGAGGGATAGAGGGAGGAGGGAGTGAGAAAAGAGAGATGGAGAGAGAAGGTAAATATTTGAAGTCTTGGAATATACATCAACAATCAAATTGATTGATCTGATTTGGCTATAAACTAAAAAATCATTTTAAAATATAACAAAATAAGATAAATAGGAACCTTGATTGGATATTTGTTAATATTTAGAAGTTATTTTTAGTGTTTCAAGTATAATAATAGGATATTTTAAGTTTTTAAAAAACACTTGTATTTTAGAGACACATACAGAAATAATTACAGATAAAATAATATAGAAGAAAGTGCCAAGATGGTTGACTAGAAGCAGCTAGTGTGTACCACTGTCACAGAGAGGAGATAGAGTGGTGCATAAATACTAGCTCTAGTGTTCAAGTGGATTGTCCAGGAGGCCATGTTGTGATTCCTGAAGGAAGCAATGGTGACCCACGGAGGACAGAGAGGAGTGAGGCTGCCCACCTGAGATTGGCATGGAGCATGGGGAGGCTCCCTATTGTGGGGAATGGGTGAGTGAGCAAGAGGCCCAAGGGACACACACTTCTGCTATAAACCTTTGTAATCTTAGGCATAAGAGATCCTAACTGACCCCCTGGACCCCCAGACAAACATGGAGAGACAGCTGCATGGAAACTGGGCAGAGCCACTTCTCAGGCCCACATGGAGCCCCATAGGACTTGGATCCCTAAGCACCCTGGTGCAAGTTGTTGTAGCCCTGGCAGTTAGGGAGGCCAGGCTCTCTTTCACAAACCCAGCATGCCTAGACAAATGCATAATAACAGTGGGACATTTCAACATTTCACCAACAGCATTAGAGACATCTTTGAGGTAAAAACTAACAAAGAAGTTCTGGACTTAAATTTAAGACTTGAACAATTGGACAAAATAGACATCTACAGAACACACCACGTACCAACAACAGAATATATATTCTACTCATCTTCACATGGAATGTATTATAGGATCAATCACATGTTCAATCTCAGTAAATTGAAAAAATTAAAATCATACCTAGCACACTGAAATCACAGTGCAATAAAAAGAAAAATAAATATCAAGATGATATCTTAAAATGACAAAAATTCATGGAAATTAAACAACTTCATCCTGAATAACTAATGAGTGAACATTTAAATTAAAGCAGAAATAAAAAATATTTGAAATTAATCAAAATGTGAACACAATCTACCAACACCTCTGGGATGCAGCTAAGGCAGTGTTAAGAGGAAAATTTATAGTACTAAATGCCTTCATCAAGATGTTAGAAAGCTCTCAAATTAATGTTTTAACTTTGTACCTAAAGTAACTAGAGGAAAAAAAAAACACACAAAAACCAATACCAAAGCAAGAAGAAAAAAATGAATAATTAAAATAAGAACTGAATTAAATCGAGATGCAAGCATTCATGCAAATGATTAATGAAACCAAGTGTAGATTTAAAAAAAAAACAAGATTGATAAACTTCCAGCTAGATTAACAAATAAAATAGAGAGAAGATCCAAATAAGTATAATCAGAAATGATAAGGATGACATTACCATTGATCCCATGTAGTTGAAAAAGATCTTCATAGAATGCTATTTAACAACACTATGCACACAAATTAGAAAATCTAGAAGAAATTGATAAATTTCTAGAACACACATTTTCACAAAATTGAATCAGAAGATTTAAAACCTGCACAGACCAAAATTGAATTCTGAAATTAAATCATCAATAAAAATCCTAGCAACCAAAAGAAGTCCTGGGCCAGACAAATTCATAGCTGAGTTCTACGAGACATAAAAGAACTGGTACCAATCCTAATGAAACCATTACAAAAAAATCGAGGTGGAGAGGCTCCTCCCTATCTGATTCTATGAAGCCAGCATTAGCTTAATACCCAAATCTGGCAGAGACACAATGAAAAAAAAAAAAAAAACTTGAGGCCAGTATCTCTGATGAACACAGATAAAAATGTCCCCAAAATACTAGCAAACCAAATTCAGCAGCACATCAAAATGTTAATACATCACAACCAATAAGGCTTTCTTTGTGGAATGCAAGATTGTTTTGACATATGGAAATTATTAACTGTGATTCACCACCTCAACAGAATTAAAAACAAAATCATATGTTCTCTCAATAGAAGAAGTGAAAACTTTCAATAATGTCCATTATCCCTTCATGATAAAAAGACCCAACAAACTAGGCAACAAAAGAACATACTTCAAAATAATAAGAGCCATATATGACAAGCCAATGTCATACTGAATGGGCAAAAGCTGAAACAATCTACCTTAAGAACTGCAACAAGACAAGGATGCCCACTCTCACCACTCCTACACTCCCACCACTCCTACTTTAACATTGTACTGGAAGCCCTAGCCAGAGCAATCAGGCAAGAGAAAGAATTAAAAGACATCCAAATTGGAAAAAAAAAAGAAGACAAATTATCTCTCTTTGTTAGAGATAAGATTCTGTAACTAGAAAAGCCTAATGACTCCACCAAAAGGCTACTAGAACTGTTACATGACTTTAGTAGGTTTTACTATACAAAATCAATGTACAAAAATCAGTAGTATATTTATACACCAATAATGTCCAGGTTGAGAGTTAAATCAAGAGCACAATACCATTTATACTAGGCAGAAATAAAATGAAATACCTAGCAGTACACATAATCAAAAAGCTTAAAGATCTTTACAAGAAGCACAAACATGTTGAAAGAAATCAGATATGACACAAATAGATAGAAAAATATCCCGTGCTTATGGATTAAAATGGCTATATGGCCCAAAGCAATTTACAGATTCAACACTATTCCTATCAAACTACAAAAGTCATTCATCACAGAATTAGGAAAAGCTATTCAAAAACTCGTATGGAACCAAAAAAAGAGCCTGAATAAACAAAGCAATCCTAAGCAAAAGAACGAAGCTAGAGGGATCATATTACCTGACTTCAAACCATAGTATATAAGGCTATAGTAGCCAAAATAGCCTGGTACTGGTATAAAAACAGAAACATAGACAAATGGAACAGAATATAAAACCCAGACATAAAGCCTTACACACGCAACCATTTGATATTTGACAAGCCAAGAAACACAAGCAATGGGAAAAGGACTCCCTATTCAATAAATGGTGTTGTGACAAGTGGCTATACAGAAGAATGAAACTGAACCCTTACCTTTTACAATATACAAAAATTAACTCAGGTAGGATTAAAGATTCAAATGAAAAATATCAAAATATAAAAATTCAAAAAAAACCTAGGAAATGCCCTTCTCAATATCAGCCTCGGCAAAGAATTTTTGCCTATGTCTTCAAAAGAAACTACAGCAAAAAATATTGACAAGTGGGACCTAATTAAGCTAAATAGCTTCTGCACAGCAAAATAAATTATCAACAAAGCAAACAGCCAACCTGCAGAATAGAAGAAAATATTCACAAACTATGCATCTGACGAAAGACTAATATCAAGAATCTATACAAAATTTAAACAAATTAACAAGCAAAAAAAACACCATTAAATGGGCAAAGGATATGAACAGACATTTCTCAAAAAAGACATGAACAGCCAACAAACATATAAAAATGTTCCACATAACTGATCATTAGAGAAATGCAAATCAAATCCACAACGATATACCATCTCACACCACTCCAAATGGCTATTTTTGAGAAATTAAAATAACAAGTAAGATCCTCGAGAGGCTGAAGAGAAAAAGGAAACACTTATGCACTGTTGGTGAGAGTGTATAAATTAGTTAAATCATTGGGAAATCAGTGTGGCGATTCCTCAAAGAACTTAAAGCAGAGCTCCTGTTTGACCCAGCAATCCCATTACTGGATATGTACTCAAAGGAAAATAGATAATTATATCAAAAGTCACATGCATACATGTGTTAATTGCTTTGCTATTCACAATACCAAAGAATGGAATCAATCTAGATGTCCATTAATGGTGGATGATAAAGAAAATGTGGTATATATACACCATGGAATACTGCATAGCCATATAAAAGAATAAAATCATGTCATTTGCAGCAATATGAATAGAGCTGGAGGTTAAAGCCAATGAACACAGGAAGAGAAAACTAAATCCTGCATGTTCACACTTACAAATGGGAGCCAAACATTGAGCAGCCGGAGACATAAACATGGGAACAATAGACACTGCTAACTAGTAGTCTGGGGAGGGAGGGGCATATAGTTTAAAAAAAACTACCTATTGGATACTATGCTCACTACTTGGGTGCAAATACACATGCAACAAATCTGCACAGGTACTCCCTATACCTAAAATAAAAGTTGAGAAAAAATATTTTATAAACTCTGATCACAAAAATTATAAAAAATAAATAATACGGTGTCTCTAAAATAATCTGGCAAAGGGTAGGGAAAACTTGCCAAGGTTAAATGACTCACCTGAAGTCACACGGCCAGTGTAAGCCAGAAAATTTAACCCAGGGAGACAAAGAATAAGAAGATCTCTGTGTAATTTCAAGATTAGGCAATGAGAGGACAGAGAAATTGGCCTGCCTGTATCATCAGAGCTTAACTAGACAACTAGACAAATACATACTGAATATTTGAATAAAATTTTTCATGTCAAACTAGCTTCCAGGTTAAACACTGAGAAAGATATTCTAGCAATGTAATCAAATAATAGAGACCTCAATAAATAAACTATTTGCTTCTTAAATATATTAAATATATTTTCCTTTATTCAAGTATGAGTCAACATTTTGAAAAACAACAATATATAATCCATAAAAAGATCCCATAACATTAATAAAAGAATCACCTCTTAAGAGAAAATAAGAATTATCAAAATTATTTACAAAAGAAAATTAAAAAATGGACTACATGTTCTGGTCTCTAGTAAATACATGAAATTACTTATACTGTGAAAAATGTGACAAATGAGAAGGAAAGGAAATGTATACAGGGAGGCTGTGTAGAAACTAAAACCTGTAACAAAACTAAAATTCACAAGATAAACAGTTGAGGAAGACCAACATTTAGAAAATCAAAATGATTATGATGCCGAGGCATTTAGTGCAAACTAAAGACACTTTCTCATAATGCAGAGGAAATGACTGAAAATTATGAGAGAAAATACGACAAAAACAATAGATCCAGTCTACAACTAGTTAGTGTCCCCGAAGGAAATAAGTCAAATCAATATAGCAGAAACAAAAATAGAGTATAATCCAATACATTTTTTTAACAATTGCAAAAGGTGTAAGCCAAAATGATAAAAAAAATACAGCCAATAAAATAATACTTGCATAAATTGGGTAACAAAAAAAATTCAACAAAAATTATGTGAAAACTTCAAGCCATAATATCACAAAATTAGCATACTAATTTAGGACAGAATAATAATTGCTTAATTTTGTAAAGCCTAATAAAATGTGAATTACAAGTCAAATGGTAAATTGATATGATTCAATGTTTATAATCAAATAGACATTTCTAAGTCATTTGCTTATAAAAGTCATGAGATCATTTGTAAGTGAAATGAGACAAATAGGTATTTGCCTCCTTACCTATATGTGTCCTCGAAATAGTCATTAATTGCTATTTCTTTAAGCAAAAGAACTCTGCAATTATAAGTTCGTTTCTAAGATTTTTAAAATTTTGTTTTTATTGACAAATAATAATTGCATATATTTATGGGGTACAATGCATTTTTTGCATAATGGATCAACATCAGTGCAATGTTTTGATATGTGTATGATTCTTGAGATTTTAAATAAATTATACAGCTAGACCAGAAAGTTGTCTCCTCATTTTTGCAAGATAAAAGCTCAATTCAACCTTGAGTAACTGAAGAACAATGCTGAGATGAAAGTTTCTTAAAAGATGTCTTTCCCTGAAGCAATCAATAATGAATATTGTAAGAGTCTTTCTCTAGGTTTCATGTTTTTAATGTTTTAATTTTTAATTTTTGTGGGAACACAGTAGATGTATATAATTGTGAAGTACATGAGATGTTTTCATGCAAGTATGCAAGGCATAAGATTCACATCATGGAGAATAAGCTATCCATTTATGCAAGCATTTATCCTTTCTGTTACAAATAATCCAATTATACTATTTTACTTATTTTAAAATGTACAATTAACTTATTATTGACTAAAGTCACTCTGTTGTGCGACCAAATAATCTCTCTTATTCATTCTAACTATACTTTTTGGATCCATTAACTGTCTCCACCTCCCCCACAGCCCCCCACTACCCTTTCCAGACTCTGATAACCATCCTTCTACTCTCTGTGTCCATTTCTATTATTTTGATTTTTAGATCCCACAAGCAAGTGAGAACATGCAATGTTTATCTTTCTGTACCTGGCTTATTTCACTTAACATAATTATCTCCATTTGCATCCACATTGGTGCAAATAACAGAATCTCATTATTTTTTATAGCTGAATAGTACTCCACTGGGCTCCACCGTGTATATATACCACATTGTCTTTATCTATTCATCTGCCAATGGACATTTAGGTTGCTTCCAAGTCATAGCTATTGTGAACAGTGCTGCAACAACCATGGGAGTGCAGATAAGTCTCTGATATACTGTCTTTCTTTTGGGTATACACCCAGCAGTGGGATTGCTGGGTCATATAATATCTCTGTTTTTAGTTTTTTCCTTCAAACTGTTCTCCATAGTGATTGTACTAATTTACATTCCCACCAACAGTGTAGGAGGCTTCCCTTATCGCCACATCCTTGCCAGCATGTATTATTGCCTGTCTTTTGGATATTAGCCATTTTAACTAGGGTGAGATGATATCTCATTGTAGTTTTGATTTGCATTTATCTGATGATCAATAATGTTGAGTAACTTTTCATATGCCTATTTTTCTTTGGTAGGTATGTTTCTGTTGAGAAATATTTATACAAATATTTTACCTATTCTTTTTGTTGATGTTGTTGTTGTTGTTGAGACGGAGTCTCGCTCTAATGCTGAGGCTGGAGTGCAGTGGCGTGATCTTGGCTCACTGCAACCTCTGCCTCCTGGCTTCAAGCGATTCCACTGCCTCAGACTCGTGAGTAGCTGGTATTACAGGCGCCCACCACCACGCCTGACTATGTCATTTTTCTTACTATAGCTCTGTGGTATAATTTGAAGTGAGGTAATGTGATTCTTCCAGTTTTGTTCTTTTGATTAGAATAGCTTTAGCTATTCTGGGTCTTTTGTGGTTCCATATACATTCTGGGATAGTTTCTTTCTATTTCTGTGAAGAATTTCACTGGTATTTGATAAGGATTTCTTTGATTCTGTAGATTTCTTTGGGTAGTATGGACATTTGAACAATATAGATTCTTCCACTCCATGAACATGGAATATTTTTTAGTATGCTTTTCAATTTCTTTTTTCAGTGATTTATAGTTGTTACTATAGACATAGTTTACTTTTTTGTTAATTCTTAGGTATTTAATTGTATTTGTGGCTATCATAAATGTGATTGCTTTTTTATTTCTTTTTCAGACTCTACTGTTTACAGAGAGAAATACTACTAATTTTTGTACGTTGATTTTTGTATCCTGCAAATTCACTGAATTTGTTTATCAATTTTAATAGTTTTTTGTGTAGTTTTTAGGATTTTTAAAATATAAGATCATATCATTTGAAAACAATTTGACCTTTTCTATTCCGATTTATGTCCTTTATTTCCTTCTTTTGCCTGATTACTCTAGTTAGGACTTCCAGGACTATGCTGAATAACACTGGTGAAAGTGGGCATCCTTGTTGTGTTTTAAATCTTAGAGGAAAGGCTTTCAGTTTCTCCCCCATTCAGTTTGATACCACCTGTAGGTCTGTAATATATGGCTTTTATTATGTTGAGAAATGTTTCTTCTATACCCAGTTTTTGAGGGTTTTATTATGAAAGTATGTTGAATTTTATCAAATGCTTTTTCAGCATTAATTAAAAAATGATGATGTGTTTTTTATTCTTTATTCTGTTGACACAGTGTATCACATTTGTTGATTTGTGTATATTAAACCATCATTTAGTCCCTGGAATAAATCCCAATAGGTAATGATGAATGATTTTTTAAATGTAAAGTTGAATTTCATTTGCTAGTATTTTGTTGAGGATTTTTTGCATCAATATGAATCAGTGATATTGGCCAATAGTTTTCTTTCTTTTTTTTCTTTTTTTAATGTGTGTCTAGTTTTGGTATTAAGGCAGTACTGGCCTCATAGAATGAGTTTGGAAGTATTCCCTCCTCCTCTATTTTTTGGAATAGTTTGAGTAGGATTAGTATTAGTTTTTCTTTATATGTTTGGTAGAATTCAGTAGTGAAACCACCAAGTCCAGGGCTTGTTTTTTTACTGGGAAATTTTTATTATGCCTTCTATCACATTGCATTTTATTGGTCTGTTCAGCTTTCGGATTTCTTCCTAGTTTAATCTTGGTAGGTTGTACGTGTCCAGGAACGTGTCAATTTCTTTTAGCTTTTCCAAGTTTTTAGTAGATTGTTGCTCATAGTAGTCAGTAGTGATTTTTTGTACAATTTCTGTACAATTTCTACAGTATCAGTTGTAATGTAACTTTTTTCATTTCTGATTTTATTCATTTGGATCTTCTCTTTTTTTCTTAGTTACTCTTGCTAATGGTTTGTCAATTTTGTTTAACTTTAAAAAAAAACATACTTTTATTTTTGTGAGATGGAGTCTCACTCTGTCACCCAAGCCAGAGTGCAGTGGTGCAATCTTGCCTCACTGCAGCCTCTGCCTCCTGGGTTCAAGAGACTCTCCTGCCTCAGCCTCCCTAGTAGCTGGGATTACAGGCACCCACCACCATGTCCAGTTAATTTTTGTATTTTTAGTAGAGATGGGGTTTCACTATATTGGCCAGGCTGGTCTTGAATTCCTGACCTCAAGTGATCTGCCTGCCTTGGCTTCCCAAGGTGCTAGGATTACAGGCATGAGCCACTGTGCCTGGACTAATCTTTTTGTTTTATTTATCTTTGGTATGTTTCTAAAATTTCAATTTCTTTTGTTTCTGCTCTCACCTTTCTCATTGCTTTTTCTTCTACTAATTTTGGGTTTGACTTGCTCTTGCTTTTCTAGTTCTTTAGCTTGGATCATTGTATATTTGAAGTTTTTCCTCTTTTTTGGTGTTGGCATTTATAGCTATAAAATTTCCTCTTAGTACTGCTTCTCTTTTATCACATAGGTTTTGTTATATTTTGTTTTTATTATCATTTGTTTCCAGAAATTTTTTAATTTCCTTCTTAATTTTTTGTGGAGCCAATGGTCATTCAGTGGCATATTGTTTATTTTACATGTATTTGTATCACTTACAAAATTTCTTGTTATTAATTTCCATTGGTTTTATTCCATTGTGGTTAGAGTATATGCTTAATATTATTTATATTTTTGAATGATTTAAGACTTGTGACCTAATATATGGTTTAACATTGAGAATAATCCATGTTTTGAGGAAAGAATGTGTATTCCACAGTTGTTGAATGAAATGTTCTGTAACTATCTTTTAGAACCATGTGATCTACAGTGCATATTGTTTTATGTTTCTTTGTTGATTTTATGTTTGGAAAATGTGTTCAATGCTGAAGGTGAGCTGTTGAAGTCTTCAGCTATTATTGCATTGGGGTATATCACTGTCTTGTGTTTTAACATTATTTGCTTTATATATCTGGGTGCTCTAGTGTTGGATGCATATATACTTAAAATTGTTATATCCCCTTGCTGAATTGACCTCTTTGCCATTATATAGTGACCTTCTTTGTCTCTTCTTGTAGTTTTTGTCTTGAAATCTGTTTTGTCTGATATAAGTATAGCTAATTATGCTCGTATTTGGGTTTCATGGCATGGAATAGCTCCTTTTATCCCTTTATTTTCAGTCTGTGTGTCTTTAGAGGTAAAGCATGTTTCTTGTGGGCATCAGTTAATGGATTTTATTTTTTCATCGATTAAGCTAGTGTATGTCTTTTGATTGGAGAGTTTAGCCCATTTACATACAATGTTATTATTGATAAGTAAGGACTTAATCCTGCCATTTTCTTATTATTTTTCTAGTTGTTTTATATGCTCTTCTCTTTCTTCTCTTTCCTTCCTCTATTCCTCTAGTGAAGGTGATTTTTCTCTGGTGATATGATTTAGTTTCTTGCTTTTTCTGTGTTTCATAATCAATTGTATATTTTTATTTGAGGTTACCATGAGGCTTGCAAATACTATCTTATAACCCATTATTTTAACCTGATAACAACTTAACACTGTTTGTATAATGAAACAATAAGAAAAAAAGAAACTTAAGAAAAACTCTACACTTTAACTTTGTCCACCCACTTTTTAGTTTTTTTGTTGTTGTTTCTGTTTACATGTTATTATACTATGTCTTGAAAAGTTCTTGTAGTTATTATTTTGGATCACTTCATCATTTAGTCTTTCTACTTAGGATAAGGGTATTTTACACACCACAGTTACAGTGTTAATGATAGTCTGTATTTTTCTGTATACTTATTACTATCAGTGAGTATTGCACCGTCAGATAATTAGTTATTGTTCTTTAATATTCTTTTTTTTCTGATTGAAGTACTCCTTTCTGCATTTCTTGTATGAAAAGTCTGGGGTTGATGACATTAGCAGCTTTTGATTTTCTGGAAAAGTTGCTATTCCTCTTTTGGTTTTGAAGGATGTTTTCCCTGGACATACTCTTCTAGGGTAAAAGTTGTTTTGTTTTGTTTTGTTTTGTTTTTCTCTTCAGCCCTTTAAATATGTCAAACCAGTCTCTCTTGGCCTCTAAGGTTTCCACTGGAAAGTCTCCTGCCAGCCAGACATATTGGAGCTCCATTGCATGTTGTTTCTTTTATCTTGTTGCTTTTAGGATCATTTCTTTATCCTTTGTCTGTGGGAGTTTGATTATTAAATGCCTTGAGGTAGTCTTCTTGGGTTAAATCTGCTTGACGTTCTATAACCTTCTTGTGTTCAGATATTGATACTTTACATTTACAAAATTGTCTGTTCTTATTCCTTTGAATAAACTTTCTACCCCTATCTCTTTCTTTTCCCCTGTCTTTAAGGAAATAACTCTTAAGTTTGCCCTTTTGAGGTTGTTTTCTAGATCCTATAAGCATGTTTCATTGTTGTTTTATTACTTTTACTTTCATCTCGTGTGACCATGTATTTTCAAATAGTCTGTATTCAAGCTCATTTATTTTTTCTTCTATTAGCTCAGTTCTGTTATTAAAAGTCACCAAAGCAGCTACAGCTAAAATCATTTTCTGATTTTCTGATTTCATCTCTGATCATTTTCCAGTAGCTAATTGCCTTTTTAACAGAGGTATTGCTCCTCACAAGAAGGCATTAGCTGCGGGCATCTGCCCACAGACCCTGACCCAAATGACAGATGAATAAAACATACACTGACACACAGATACTCTGTTTTGCCAGTCCTGCTGCGTGTCCGACCACCTGCGCACCAAGAAAGGATTGTCAATGTGGCTGGCCCTGAGCAGCTCGCACTCAGGGCATTTATTTAGTATACAATTAACAACAGACGCTCTGAGTCAACACACTTGTGGAGAATTAACATGGTTAAGAGAGTAGTTCTAGGAATGATTAAAGCTCTGGTACCTCTGTTGAAGGTAAATACCATTAGGGGGCAATATCCCTAGTCGACCTCCCCCGCCCCAGGGCCATTTGGCTCAAAGGTTAGTTAATGCAGGTAGGATAAATAGACTTAACTGGGGAAGCCTCTATCGTCCCTAGTATTTACCCTATGACCTAATGCTCTAAGGTAAGAACCAGCTGCCTTCAGCCTATTCAATTATTACAAGATAGGTAACCTTTCAGCCTTTCCAAACATAAAATCAACAAAGAAACAAAAGGTTTGTGACTATTCCTACAACTTTCCTTAATATTTCCCTTTAATATTTCTGCCACCATCCTGAGTGAATCCCAACATTTCACTGCAGAACCTCTGCTTGATTTTTTTAATTATTTCAATCTTTTTGTTAAATTTATCTTATAGAATTTTAAATTCCTTCTGTGTGTTATATTGAGTATTTTTGAGTTTTCTCAACATAGATATTTTGAATTCTCTGTCTGAAAGCTCACGTATTTGTGCTTTTTTCAGGATTTGTGTTTTTGCTGGTGTTTTATTTATTTGGTGAAATCGTGTTTTTCTGGATAGTGTTGATGCTAGTAGGTGTTCTTTGATGTCTTGGCATTGAAGAGTTTGGTATTTATTGTAATCTTCACTGTCTGGGCTTGTTTGTATCTGCCCTTCTTGGGAAAGCTTTCCAGATATTTGAAAGAATTTGCATATTGTGATTTTTTTTTTTTTTTTTTTTTGAGATGGAGTCTCACTCTGTCGCCCAGGCTGGAGTGCATTGGCACGATCTCGGCCCACTGCAAGCTCCGCCTCCCAGGTTCACACCATTCTCCTACCTCAGCCTCCCGAGTAGCTGGGACTACAGGCACCCGCCACCATACCCAGCTATTTTTTTTTTTTTTTTTGTATTTTTAGGAGAGATGGGGGTTTCACCATGTTAGCCGGGTTGGTCTCGATCTCCTGACCTCGTGATCCACCCGCCTCGGCCTCCCAAAGTGCTAGGATTACAGGCGTGAGCCACTGCACCCAGCTGCATGTTGTGATTTTAGCTGTAGCTGCTTTGGTGAGCATTTCAAGTTCAGTAACACTGTGGTTCTTTCACATCCATAGAGGCACTATTTTAATGGTGTTTGACAAGATCCGGAAGAATTTTCTGGATTACTAGGCAGAGATCTGATTCTCTTACCTTGCTTTCTCCCAAATAAATGGAGTCTCTCTGTCTGTTCTGAAACACCTATTGCTGGGGTTGGAGAGACACAAGCATTGCTGTGGCCACCATCACTATGACTATGCTGGATCAGACCTGAAGTCAGCACAGCACTGGATCTTGCCCTAGTTCTGCTGTAACCACGACCTGGCTATGGCCTATGTTCGCTCAAGGCCCTGGTGCTCTACAATCACCAGGTGGCAAAGCCAGCCAGGCCATTCTCCTTCCCTTCATGGTGGCAAGTTCATTCATTCAGGCTCCAGGTGAATCCAGATGTGCTGCCTGGGAGTGAGGCACTAGAGTAAAAGACCTTAGAAGTCTTCCTGGTTTTCTATTTTACTGTGGCTGAACTGGCACCCAAGCCACAAGATGCAGTCCTTCGCAATCTTCCCTCCACTTTATAAAGGCAGAGGAGCCTCACTCTGTAGCCACTGCCATCTCAGGCCACGGGGAGTTCTGCGAGATGCCACCAATATTCCCTTAAGGCCCAAAGGCCCTTCAGTCAGCTTTTGGTAAGTGCTGTCTGGCCTGGAACTCACCCTTTAGGGCAGTGGGCCTCTGTCTCAGGGCAGGTCCAGAGTTGCTGTCCAAGAGTCAAGTCCTGAAATTGTGGACCCTCAATAGCCCACTTGATGCTCTGGCACCCTGTGTCCATGCTGGTACCTAAGATGCAAGACAAAGTCCCCTCTACTTTTCCCTCTTCTTTTCTCAAGCAAAAGAAGTTTTGCCACCAGAGCTGGTAATGTGTTGAGTCTCAACTGAAGCCAGCAAGTCTCAGGGGCTCACCAAGGCCCTAGCTATAGTACCTGGGTATCATTGTTGGTTATTCAGGGCCTAGGGGCTCTTCAGTTAGTAGGTTATAAATGCTGGCAGGACTGGATCCTTTTCTTCTGGGACAGAAGTGGCTTCCCTTCTCTCCCAGAGTGTGTCTATAAGTGTCCTCTGGCCGCTAGGTCCTGGAATAGAGGCCTCATTACTCTGACTGGTGCCCTATCTTACTGTGCCTGAGCTGGGTAGCCAAGATGCAAGACAACATCCTCCCCATTCTTTCTTCTCCTCTCTTCAAGTGGAAAAAGAAATCTCTTTTGGAGCCCTGAACTATTCTGCCTGGGGTCAGTGGAGGGGTGATGTCAGCACTCCCTTACCTTCCCCAAGCAGTGTCTTAGTAGGTCTCATGCCCTCTTCAGTCCACTCTCTCTGGGCCCAGTTTAGCCCTAGGTCTCATCTAACAGTTGCAGTCCCTACGGCCTAGATTCCCTTTTAAGTTGACTTAGAGACCAAGAGCACTTTGGACCACAGTGGAGAGACTTGTGGGAACTCAAGTTCCAACTGCTGGAATTGGTGATTCCCCTCTGGCTAGGGCTGCTTTAAATGCTCCCTACTTGGGCAGGCATTAGCTGAGTTTGGTCCAGTTTTCCTTTCTGCTCTAACAGGGCAGCACCAAGTTCAGTGATTCACAATTTCTGTGTTCTCCCTCTTCCAGCACCCAGAGAGACTCTGCATCAAGCTGCCACTGCTAGGTGGTGGGGTGAGGGTGACGTCAATAATTCAAGAGACTGTTTTTTCTATTTCTTCAGTGTCCCCTTCAGCAATACAGAGTTAAATCTCAGTATTATGAGGCCTCACCTGATTTTTGGTTCTTATGAATGTGTTTTTTATTTTCTGTGTAAACAATTTTTAAACCGATGTCCTTGTACAAGGGATGGTCTGTGGAGTCTTTTATTCTGCCATCTTGCTCCTAAGACTAAAATTCAGAATCCATACAATTAGTATATTTCTTTCTTTTCAGAAAGTACATACACTTCTGTTGTTTGTTTCTCCTGAAATTAGTTTTGACATCATTCTTTTTAAGTTGTTTTTATTTTTAATTTTTGTAGGTATGTATCAGGTGTATATATTTATATTTATGAGACATGTGAGATATTTTGGTACAGGCATGCAATGCATAATAGTTACACCATGGAGAATGGGGTATCCATCACGTGAAGCGTTTATTTTTTGTGTTACAAACAATCCAATCAAAGTCTTTTAGTTGTTTTTAAATTTACAGTGAAAGTATTACTGACTACAATCATCCTGTTGTGTTATCAAATATGAGGTCTTATTCATTCTTTCTAATTATTGTTTTCTACACACTAACCATCTCCAAATTCTCCCTACCCCTCCACTACCCTTCCCAGCTTACTCTTCTGGTAAGCATCCTTCTAGTCTCTATTTCCATTAGTTCAATTGTTTAGATTTTTAGATCCCACAAACGAGAACATGCAGTGTTTGTATTTCTGTGCCTGGCATATTTCACTTAAGATAATGATCTTCAGTTCTATTCATGTTGTTGCAATGACAATATCTCATTCTTTTTTATGGTTGAATAGTACTCCATTGTATGTAGGTACCACATTTTCCTTATCCATTCATCTGCTGGTGGACACTTAGGTTGCTTTCATATCTTGGCTATTGTGAGCAGAGCTGCAAAAAACATGGAATTGCAGATATGTTTTCAATATACTGATTTCCTTTTTTTTTTTTGGGAGAAGGGGGTATATACCCAGCCGTAGGATTGCTGGATAATATGGTAGCTCTATTTTTAGTTTTTCGAGAAACCTTAAAATTGTTTCTTATAGTGGTTATACTAATTAACATTCGCGCCAACAGTGTACAAGTGTTTCCTTGTTTCCACATTCTTGCCAGCATTTATTATCGGTTGACTTATAGATAAAAGCCATTTTAACAGGGGTGAGATACTGTCTCTTTGTAATATTGATTTGCATTTCTGTGATGATAAATGATGGTAAGCACCTTTTTCATACGCCTGTTTGCCATTTTGATGTCTTCTTTTGAGAAATGTATATCCAAATATTTTGCCCATTTTTATATTGGATTGTTAGATCTCTTCCTATGTAATTTTTTGACCTCCTTAAATATTCTTGTTATTAATCCTGTCAGAAGTGTAGTTTGCAGATGTTTTCTCTCATTCTGTGGGTTTTTTCATCACTCTGTTAATGGTTTCCTTTGCCCTGCAGAAGCATTTTAACTTGATGTGATCTCATTTAACCATATTTGTTTTGTTCGCCTGTGCTTGTGGGGTATTGCTCAAGACATTTTTGCCCAAATCAATGTTTTGGAGAGTTTTCCCAATGTGTATAATTTTAGTAGTTTCATAATTTGGGGTCTTAGATTTATGTCTTTAATACATTTTCCTTTGATTTTTTAAGGTGAGAGATGGGGGTCAAGTTTTATTTTTCTGCATATGGATACCCAGTTTTCTCAGCAACATGTATTGAAAATATTGTCTTCTCCCCAATGAATATTCTTAGTGCCTTTGTCAAAAATTAGTTCACTGTAGGTCTGTGGATTTGTTTATGGGTTCTCTATTCTTTTCTACAGATCTATGTGTAGGGAAAAGAAAGAGAGATCAGACTGTTACTGTGTCTATGTAGAAAGCGAAGACATAAGAGACTCCATTTTGAAAAATACCTGTACTTTAAATAATTGCTTTGCTGAGATGTTGTTAATTTGTAGCTTTGCCCCAGCCACTTTGACCCAACCACTTTGACCCAACCTGGAGCTCACAAAAACATGTGTTGTATGAAATCAAGATTTAAGAGATCTAGGGCTGTGCAGGACATGCCTTGTTAACAAAATGTTTACAAGCAGTATACCTGGTAAAAGTCATCGCCATTCTCTAGTCTTAATAAACCAGGGGCACAGTGCACTGCGGAAAGCCGCAGGGACCTCTGCCCTTGAAAGCTGGGTATTGTCCAAGGTTTCTCCCCATGTGATAGTCTGAAATATGGCCTCGTGGGATGAGAAAGACCTGACAGTCCCCCAGCCCGACACCCGTAAAGGGTCTGTGCTGAAGTGGATTAGTAAAAGAGGAAAGCCTCTTGTAGTTGAGATAGAGGAAAGCCACTGTCTCCTGCCTGACCCTGGGAACTGAATGTCTCGGTATAAAACCTGATTGTACATTTGTTCAGTTCTGAGATAAGAGAAAAACCACCCTATGGTGGGAGGTGAGACATGTTTGCGGCAATGCTGCCTTGTTATTCTTTATTCCACTGAGATGTTTGGGTGGAGAGAAACATAAATCTGGCTTACGTACACGTCCAGTCATAGTACCTTCCCTTGAACTTAATTATGACATAGATTCTATTGCTCACATGTTTGTTGCTGACCTTCTCCTTATTATCACCCTGCCCTCCTACTACATTCCTTTTTACTGAAATAATGAAGATAATAATCAATAAAAACTGAGGGAACTCAGAGACCAGTGCTGGTGCAGGTCCTTGACATGCTGAGCGCAGGTCCCCTGGGCCCACTGTTGTTTCCCTATACTTTGTCTCTGTGTCTTATTTCTCTTTCTCAGTCTCTCGTCCCACCTGACTAGAAATACCCACAGGTGTGGAGGGGCAGGCCATCCCTTCATCTATGTGTGTATTTTTTATTCCAGTCCCATGCCATTTGTTTACTACACCCCGTAGTATAATTTGAAGTTCAGTTACGTGATTCCTCTGTTTGTTTTTTATTTGTTTGTTTGTTTGTTTTGTTTTTTTCCTTTTTGCTCAGGATACCTTTGGCTCTTCTGGGTCTTTTTTCATTGTTTGTGAATTTTAGGATATTTTTCCCTGTTTCTGTGAAAAATGTCATTGGTATTATTATTATTATTATTATTATCATTATTATTTTGAGATGGAGTCTCTCTCTGTCGCCCAGGCTGGAGTTCAGTGGCGCTATCTTGGCTCAATGCAACCTCCGCCTCCTGGGTTCAAGTGATTCTCTTGCCTCAGCCTCCCCAGTAGCTGGGAATATAGGTGCATGCCACCATGCCTGGTTAAATTTTTTTTTTTTTTGTATTTTTAGTAGAGACGGGGTTTCACCATGTTAGCCAGGATGGTCTCCATCTGCTGACCTCATGACTCGCCTGCCTCGGCCTCCCAAAGTGCTGGGATTACAGGTGTGAGCCACCATGCCCAGCCATCACTGGTATTTTAATAGAGACTGCATTGAATCTGCAGATTGCTTTTGATAGTGTAGGCATTTTAAACATATTGATACTTCCAATCCATGAACATGGAATATCTTTCCATTTTTTTGTGTGTGCTCATCAATGTCTTTCATCAGCATTTTATTGTTTTTATTGTAGAGATCCTTCACTTCTTTGGTTAATTCTTAGGTATTTAATTTAGTTGTGGTTATTGTAAATGTGATTAATTTTTTAATTCTTTTTTAGATTGTTCACTGTTGGGATATAGAATTGCTGCTAATTTTTGTTTGTTGGTTTTATGTCTTTCAAATTAACTGAATATGTTTATGGGTTCTAATAGTTTTCTTAGTGGAGTTTGCAGGATTTTCCAAGTATAAAATTATATCATCAACCAACAAGGATAATTTGACTTATTCCTTTTCAATGTAGATGCTCTTTATTATTTTCTCTTGTCTGATTTCTCTAGTTATAACTTCCAGTACTATGTTGAATTACATTGGTGAAAGTGGGCATCCTTGTCATGATCCAGATCTAAGAGGAGGGATTTCAGTTTTTCCACATTCAGAATAATACTACATGTGGGTCTGACATATGTGGCTTGTATTTTGTTCAGGTATTCTCCTTCTATATCCAGTGTCTTGAGAGTTTTATCATGAAGAAATGTAGAACTTTATCCCATGTGTTTTTAGTATCAATTGAAATGATTATATGGTTTTTGTTCCTCATTATGTTTTTATGATGTATCATATTGATTGATAACATATGTTGAACCACACTTGCATCACTAGGATAAATCCCACTTGGTCATGATGAATCATATCTTTAATGTATTGTTGAATTCAGTTTGGTAATGTTTTGTTGGGGATTTTTTTGCATCATTATTCATCAGAGATATTGGCCTGCAGTTTTCTTTTTTTGATGTGTGTTTGGTTTTGGTATCAGTGTAGTACTGGCCTTGTAGAATAAGTTTGGAAGTATTCCCTCCTCCTCAGTTTTATGGAATTATTTGTGTAAAATTAATATTAATTCTTCTTCCAATTATTGGTAAAGTCATTAGGCCCTGGGCTTTTATGGACTGGAAGGCTTTTTATTATGGCTTTAATCTCATTACTTGTTATTGGTCTGCTCAGGTTTTGGATTTCTTCACAGTTCAATCTTGGTAGGCTGTATGTGTCTAGAAGTTGCTTAGAGTAGCCAGAAATGATGTTTTCAATTTCTGTGGTATCTGTTATAATGTCTCATTTTTCATCTCTGATTTTTATTTGGGTATTCTCTTTTTGTCTTAGACTGGCTAGAGTTTTGTCAATTTTATGATTTTACAAAATCTACTTTTGTTTCATTGATCTTTTGTACTTTTTTCTTTATTTCAGCTCCAACCTTTATTTTTTATTATTTTAATAAAAACTCTACACTTTAACTATGCTCCCACTTTATAACATTTTTTGTTTTCCTTTATGTCTTATTGTACTGTGTCATAAAAAGTTGCTGTAGTTATTATTTTTAACTTTTTAATCATTTAGTCTTTTTACTTAAGAGAAGTTTACACACCACAATTTCAGCATTATATTATTCTGTTTTTTTCTGTGTACTTACTATTAACAGTCAGCTTTGTACCTTCAGATGATTACTTGCTTATTAACATCCATTTCCTCCAGATTTATGAACTCCTTTAGAATTTCTTCTGGGCAGGCCTGTTGTTGATAAAATCCCTCAGCTTGTGTTTGTCTAGGAAGGTCTTTCTTTCTCCTTCATGCTTAAAGGATTTTTTTTTTTTTGCAAGATATAGTGTTCTAGTGCAATAGTTTTTTATCCCTCTGTACTTTATGTTATGGTGCTTCCTCCTTGCTTGTATGGTTTCCATTGAAAACTCTGCTGCTTGATTTATCAGAGCTCCATTGTATGTTATTTGTTTCTTTTCTCTTGTTGCTTTTAGGATCCTTTTTTATCCTTGACTTTTGCAAGTTTCATTATTAAATGTGTGAAGTAGTGTTCTTTGAGTTAAACCTGCTTGGTATTCCAAAATCTTCTTGTACTTGAATTTCAATATCTTTAGGTATGGGAAGTTATCTGTTATTAAACTTTCTACCTTTATCTCTTTCTGTACCTCTTCTTTAAGGCAAGTAACTCTCAGATTTGCACTTTCAAGGCTGTTTACTATGTCTTCTAGGCATGCTTCATTGTTTTTTATTCCTGTTTTTGTCTCCTCTGACTGTGTTTTCAAATACGCTGTCTGCAAGCTCACTAAATTTTCTTCTGCTTGATTAATTCTGCTACTAAGAGACTCTGATGTATTTTCTGCCATGTTATTTGCATTTTTCAACTCTCAAATTTCTGTTTGATTGTTTTTAATTATTTCAATCTCTGTTAAATTTACCTGATAAAATTCTGAATTCCTTCATTGTATTATTTTGAATTTCTTTGAGTTTTCTCAACATAGGTATGTTGAATTCTATGTCTGAAAAATTATATATTTCTGTTTCTCCTGGATTGGTCCCTGGTGCCTCATTTAGTTCATTTGGTGAGGTCAAGATTTTCTACTGGGTGTTAATGGTTGTAGATATTCATTGGTTCCTGGGCACTGAAGAGTTGTATGTTTATTGTAGTCTTCACAGTCTGGGCTTGTTAATACCTGCTCTTCTTGGGAAGGCTTTTATGTATTCAAAGGGACTTGGGCCCCAAGCCCAATAAAACTAGCTATTGCAGAATCATAGAGGTACCACCTTGGTGGTCTTGAATAATATGTGGAAGAATTCTTTGGATTACCAAGAAAAGACTCTTCTTTGTGCTTATGTTCTCCTAAAGAAATAGAGTCTCTCTGCACTGAGCCACCTGATACTGGAGATGTGATGATGCAAGCACCCTTGTAGCCACCACAACAGACTGTGCTTGGTCAGATCTGAAGCTAGCACAGCACTGGGCCTTACCCAAGGCCCTTATTGTCAAGGCAGCCTGTTTCCCGAGGCCCTGGGCATGTCCAGATATGCTGTCCGGAAACCAGGGGTTGGACTAAAAAACCTTAGCAATTTACGTGATATTTTATTTTACTGTGGCTAAACTAGCACTCTAATCACAATATGAAATCCTTCCCATTCTTCCATCCACATTACATAGCCAGAGGAGCCTCTCTCTGTGGCCACTAATGCCACCTATCCAGGAAGGATTCTGGCAGGCCAGTGGCCTCCTCTGTGGCCCAGGGCAGGTCCAGAAATGCTGTCCAAGAGCCCAGGCCCAGAGGCATGGACCCCAAGAACCTGCATGTTGCTCTACCCTACTGTGGCTGAGCTGCTACCTAGGGTGCAAGACAAAATCCCCCTTAATTTTTTCTGTTCATTTTCCCAAACAGAAGGAAGCTTTCATCACAGCAACTACATCTAGGAGTATACTGGGTCACCCATGAAGCCAGCATATCTCAGAGACCAAGGCCTATGGTGTACTCACTAGGTATTTCTTCTGGTTATTCAGGGCCCAAGGGCTCTTTATTCAGCAAGTGCTGAATCCTATAAGGACTGGATCCTTCCCTTCAAAGCAGCAGGTTCCCTTTTGTACCAGTGTGGTCTATGATATAGTTTGGCTGTGTCCCCATACAAATCTCATTTTGAATTTTAGCTCCCATAAATAATCCCCACAAGTTGTGGGAGGAACCCAGTGGGAGGTAATTGAATTACGGGGTTCGGTTTTTTTCCATGCTTTTCTCATGATAATGAATAAGTCTCAGCAGATCTGATGGTTTTATAAGGGCAGTTCCCCTGCACACGCTCTTGCCTGCATCCATGTAAGACATGCCTTTTCTCCTCCTTTGCTTTTTGTGATGATTGTGAGACCTTCCCAGCCATGTGAAACTGTGAGTCCATTGAGCCTTTTGTTCTTTATAAATTACCCTGTCTCAGGTATTTCTTCATAACAGTATAGAAACGGACTAATAGAGTACTTGGTACTGGTAGAGTGGGGTAGTGTTATAAGGATACCCGAAAACGTGGAGGCAACTTTGGAACTGGGTAACAGGCAGCAGTGGAAAGAGTTTGGAGGGCTCAGAAGAAGACAGGAAAATGTGGATAAGTTTGGAACCCCCTAGAGACTCTGAGGGATCAGAAGACAGGAAGATGTGGGAAAGTTTGGATCTTCCTAGAGAAGTGTTGAATGGCTTTGACCAAAATGCTAATAGTGATATGGACAATAAAGTCCAGGCTGAGGTGGTCTCAGATGGAGATGAGGAATTTATTGGGAACTGGAGCAAAGGTTACTCTTGCTGTAAAAATAGACTGGTGGCATTTTGCCTCAGCCCTAGAGACCTGTGGAATTTTGAACTTGAGAGAGATAATTTAGGGTATCTGGGAGAATAAATTTCTAAGCAGCAAAATGTTCAAGAGGAAGCATAGCATCAAAGTTTGAAAAATTTGTAGCCTGACAATGCAGTAGAAAAGAAAAACCCATTTCCTGGAGAGAAATTCAAAATGGCAGAAGAAATTTGCGTAAGTAATGAGAAGCCAAATGCTAATTGCCAAGGCAATAGGAAAAATCTCTTCAGGGCCTGTCAGAGACCTTCGTGGCAGCCCCTCTCATTACAGACCCAAGGGCCTAGGTGGAAGAAGTGGTTTGCTGGGCTGGATCCAGGGCCCCACTGCTGTTAGCAGCCTCAGGACTTAATGCCCTGCATCCCAGATGCTCCAGCCATGGCTAAATGGGGCCAAGGTACAGCTTAGGCTGTGGCTTCAGAGGGTGAAAGACCCACACCTGGGCAGCTTCAACATGGTGTTGAGCCTGCAGGTGCACAGAAGTCAATTAATTGAGGTTTGGGAACCTCCACCTAGATTTCAGAGGATGTATGGAAAGGCCTGGATATCCAGGCAGAAATTTGCTGCAAAGGTGGAACCCTCATGGAGAACCTCTGCTAGGACAGTTCAGAAGGAAAATGTGGGTTTGGAGCCCCCAAACAGAGTCCCCACTGGGGCACTGCCTAGTGGAGCTGTGAAAAGAGGCCCACCATCCTCCAGACCCCAGAATGGTAGATCCTCGGTCAGCTTGCACCATGTGCCTGGAAAAGCCATAGACACTCAGTGCCGGCCTGTGAAAGCAGCCAGAAGGGGGGATGTATCGTGCAAAGCCACAGAGGCAGAACTGCCCAAGGCCATGGCCTCTTGCATCAGTGTGATCTGGTTGTGAGACCAGATGGAGTCAAAGGAGATCATTTTGCAGCCTTACGATTTGACTGCCCCACTGGATTTTGGACTCACATGGGGCCTGTAGCCCCTTCATTTTTCAAATTTCCTCCATTTGCAATGGTTGTATCTACCCAATGCCTCTACCCTTATTGTATCTACAAAGTAACTAACTTGCTTTTGATTTTACAGGCTCATAGATGGAAGAGACTTGCTTGGTCTCAGATGGGGTTTTGGAATGTGGACATTTGAATGAATGCTGAAATGAGATAAGACACTGGGGGACTGTTGGAAGGGCAAAATTGTGTTTTGAATTGCGAGAACATGAGATTTGGGAGAGGCCAGTGGCAGAATAATATGGTTTGGCTGTGTCCCCACCCAAATCTCTTCTTGAATTGTACCTCCCATAATCCCTGCATGTGGTGGGAGGGGCCCAGTGGGAGGTAATTAAATCATGGGGGTGGGTTTTTCCTGTGCTGTTCTCGTGATACTGAATAAGTCTCAGGAGATCTGATGGTTTTACAAGGGTAGTTCCCCTGCACACACTCTTGACTACCACCATGAAAGATGTGTCTTTGTTCTTACTTCAATTTCTGCCATGATTTTGAGGCCTCCCCAGCCATGTGGAACTGTGATTCCATTGAAATTTTTTTCTTTATAAATTACCCATTCTTTGGTGTTTCTTCATAGCAGTATGAAAATGAACTAATACAATCTGTAAATGTTTTTCAGGAGCTAGAGCCTGTAATGGGGGCCTCATGACTCTACCTTGTGCCCTATCTTACTGTGGCTGACTTGGTATTCAAGACACAAAACAAAGCCCACTTTACTCTTTGTTCTTCTCTCCTTAAGCAAAAGGAATGAGTCAAGTTCATGGCTGTGAACTGTACTGTCTGAAGTTGTGGAAGTGATGTTCCAAATACACCCTTAGCTGCACCATTTGGTTTCTCCTAACATCATGTGCCACCCTACTTCATTGGCTCTAAGCCTGGCTTAGAACTAAGAGTTGTTTAAAAATTGCAGTCCTTGTGTCCTAGACTGCCTTTCAAGTTTACCTAGGATGCCAGAGAACTTTAGCATACAGTGGTGAGGCTTGCTGAGAAACTCAAATTCTGACCACTGGGATGGGTGATTCCCCACTGGCTACCGTGTGTGTGCTGCCTGAGCGCAGTATAACTATATTCTCCACTGTGACAAGGCAGCACTGAGTTCAGTGTAAACTTCCCCATTTTCTGTACTCTTTCTTCCCAAAGTGCACAGATTCTCTCTCTGTATAGCTCAGCTACTGCCAGTGGATGGAGGAGGGGTGGCATTGGACAGTCAAGACTGTCTCTCCTCCCCTTTGTAATGCTTTTTTCAGTAATATGAATATGAGTTTAAAACCATTACTTGGATTGCTCACCTGGATTTTGATTCTAATGATGGTGGTTTTCTGTGTGCAGATCTTTGTTAAAATTAGTGTTCCAATGGGAATGATGAATGACATGGGCTTCTGTTCTGCTATCTTGCTTGAACCACTCATCTTTCTGTTTTGATTTCTGTTTTTTCTTTTTCTTTTCTTTTTTTTTTTTTTTTGATTCTGGGCAATTTCACAAATCCACCAGCATCTGTGCCACAATGCAGAGGTCACAATTTATACCGTCGTAAAAATACAAGATTTTCAAGCAGCCGTTTATGTTTCAATATTAATGTATATTTAGAAACAGCTTTTATGATTTAATAAAATGTTAAAATTTATTTTATAGCACTGTTACCTAGTTGTGCATACTTCGACATTGCTTTTCTATTTTGGAAATGGTAGCACCTAGATTTAGGTGAAACTGGTTAGCATCATTGCTAATATTTCTCTTGACTTATGACAATAACAATTACTTTTCAAAAACCCAGTTAAACAACTTTAAAAATCGTATCTTGACAGTTTGAGGTGCATGTGATGTTATAAATTGCTGGTTCTTATTAACATGAAGTAAACACACTCTATCTTATCTCCCATAGATCAGATTATAACTAAAATCTCTGGACAAAATACTAAAATCAATTATTGAAAATCTTAAAAAATAAGAATAAGGGGCCGGGTGCGGTGGCTCGCGCCTATAATCCCAGCACTTTGGGAGGCCGAGGCGTGCAGATCACGAGGTCAGGAGATCAAGACCATCCTGGCTAACACGGTGAAACCCCGTCTCTACTAAAAATACAAAAAAATTAGCCGGGCGTGGTGGCAGACGCCTGTAGTCCCAGCTTCTTGGGAAGCTGAGGCAGGAGAATGGTGTGAACCTGGGAGGCGGAGCTTGCAGCGAGCCGAGATTGCGCCAGTGCACTCCAGCCTAGGTGACAGAGCAAGACTCCGTCTCAAAAAAAAAAAAAAAAAAAAAAAAAAAAAGAATAAGGACAGGCAGACTGGATAGAAATATGAAAATTGTGTGATTATATGGGAGTAAGTTACCTGTGTTTTTGTTGTTTTGTTAAGTTTTATTTTTGTTTTGATTAGCTTTCATCTCTCATATTGTCCAGTACAGACTACCATATCTCCCAAAATGACAATAAAGAATGAACAGAAATAGCACAGACTAAAACAGTTTGTCTTTAGTAAGAAAACTATATATGGTGTCCCATGTGAGAATAGTTTTTGTGTTTTGTTTTATTTTTGTTAACTTCCTAGAACTCCCTCAAGTGAGCCCCAGTAATGAAGGCGAAGCAACAGCGGGGTGGCAGTGGGCATGAAAGCACTAAAGATTCTATCTTGCTGCTTTTCCCACAAATGTATGTATTTCCAAAAGGGGTATGACAGCTGTGAGAAGAAATATCCTTGGCTTTTTAATCAGACCATCAAGAAATCTAATCACTGAAAACTAGATAGTTTGAGGGAAATCATTGAAAAAAAAAGGAATGAGAGGAATAGATACATTAAATATGTATATAATGTCCTGAACTTGTCTTTAAATTGAACATGCATAGAAATAACTGGAATAAATGTAGGTAAACTTTGAGAACTAGAGCACAGTTATACATGACTTGTTCCAGACTAGCCCCAAAGTGGGATAAACATAGGACAAATCAGAAGAGCAGTGAAAAAACATTTAACATTAAACAAATATTTAAAACACAACCCACAGAAGGGAGTCAGGACTTCTGGTTTGAACCTAAACAGTTTGACTACTATATAAAACAACAAAAACAAAAAAAAAAAAAATCAACATTTTCCAGAAAATTTTAATAGGACACAGAGTCTCCTAACATAATATTTAACATGTCCAAGATACAATTTCAGATTATTTGACATATAAAGAACAACAAAAAAAACCCACTTAACTCCCGTGGGACAAGACAATTATCAGACACCAACCTTGATGTTTAGAAATGTAATTGCATTGAATAAAATAAAACAGTGAAGAAAGAGAACCAAATAGAAATTTTAGTGCTAAAAAGTACCCTCAAATTACAAGAGAGATGTGATAACAGAATGGCATAACAGAAAATAGACTCAGTGAATTTCCAGAAAGGTCCATAGAAATTATTCTATATGAAAATCAAAAATTAAGATAGATTTAAAAATTATGAACAAAGCTTCAGGGATCAATGTGACAATATAAAAAATCTAGCATTTATATATTTTGAGTTTGATTATTATATAAAGAGAGGAGCAAGAGACTCTTGTAAAAGAATATTTGAAAATATGTCTGACAATTTCTCAATTTTTCTGAAATGTATACATTTCCAGGTCCAAGAAGCTCAGCAAACCATAAGAAGGGTAAATTCACAGGAAACTATGCACAAACACATCATAGTCAAATAAGTTAAAGATTTAAAAAAAATCTTGAAAGGAGCCTAAGAAGCACATTACACATGTGCAAAGTACAATTTTATTGACAATTTCTCATCAGACACCAGGAAGATGAGAAAACTGTAGACTAACATTTATAGAGTGCTTCAAGAAAAGAGCTGAAAACAAAGAATTCTATCTTCATAAAACATATTATTCAAGACATTGAGATAAAAACATATTCCATGTAAAGAAAAGTCAAAAGAGAGAATCTGTAGCTATACTAATATCTGATAAAATATACTCTATTTGTCCGTTTCTGCTTTTGTTGCAATTGCTTTTGGCATCTTTGTCATGATATCTTTGTCTGTGCCTATGTCCTGAATGGTATTGACTAGGTTGTCTTCCAGGGATTGAATAGTTTTGGATTTTTCATTTAAGTCTTTAAGCCATCTTGAGTTAATTTTTGTATATGGTGTAAAGAAGGGGTCCAGTTTAAATCTTCTGCATGTGGCTTGTCAGAGAATCATTTACTCATTGCTTGTTTTTGTCAGGTTTGTCAAAGATAAGATAGTTGTAAGTGTGTGGTCATATACCTGGGTCCTCTATTCTGTTCTATTGGTCTATGTGTCTGTTTTTGTACCAGTACTATGCCATTTTGGTTACTGTAGCCCTGTAGTATAGTTTGAAGCCACATAGGATGATGCCTCCAGCTTTGGTCATTTGTTTAGGGTTGTCTTGGCTATAAGGGCTCTTTGTTGTTTTCATACAAATTTTAAAATAGTTTTTTTCTAGTTCTGTGAAGAATCTCAATGGTAGTTTAATAGACATAGAATTAAATCTATGAATTGCTTTGGGCAGAATGGCCATTTCAAGGATTTTGATTCTTCCTTTCCATTAGCACCAAATGTTTTTCCATTTGCTTATGTCCTCTCTGATTTCTTAGAGCAGTGGTGTAGTTCTCTTTGTAGAGATCTTTCACCTCCCTGGTCAGCTATATTCCTAGATATTTTATTCTTTTTGTGGCAATTGTGTATGGGAGTTCATTCCTGATTTGGCTCTTGGCTTGCCTGTTGTTAGTATATAGAAATGCTAGTGAGTTTGCCCATTAATGATAGACTGGATAGAGAAAATGTGGTACATATACATCAAGGAATACTATGCAACCATACAAAATGAGATCATGTCCTTTGCATGGACATGGATGGAACTAGAGGCCAGTATCTTTAGCAAACACAGGAAAAGGACAGAAAACCAAATTCCACATGTTCTCACTTGTATGTGTGAGTTAAATGATGATAAAACATGAACACACAGAGGGGGACAAACACACTGGGGCCTTTTGGATGGTGAAGGGTGGGAGGTGGGAGAGGATCAGAAAAAAATAACTAATGGGTACTGATATGGTTTGACTGTGACCCCACCCACATCTCATCTTGAATTGTAGCACCCATAACTCCCATGGGTTGTGAAAGGAGCATGGTGGGAGATAATTGAATCATAGGGGCGGGCCTTTCCCATGCTATCCTCATGATGGTGAATAAGTCTTATGAGATCCAATGGTTTCACAAAGGGGATTTTCCATGCTCAAGTTATCTTCTCTTCTCTGCTGCCATGTGAGATGTGCCTTTCACCCTCTGCAAGGGTTGTGAGGCCCCCACAACCACATAGAACTTTGAGTCCATTAAATCTGTTTCTTTTGGAAATTGCCCAGTCTCAGGTATGTCATTATCAGCAGCATGAAAACGGACTAATACAGCCAGTATTGGGGTGCTGCTGCAAAGATACCAGAAGATGTGGAAGCAAATTTGTAACTAAGTAACCGGGAGATGTTGGAACAGTTTGGAGGGCTTAAAAGAAGATAGAAAAACGTGGAAAAGTTTGGAACTTCCCAGAGGCTTGTTGAATGACTTTGACAAAATGTTGATAATGACATAGAAAATGAAATCCAGGCTGAGGTGGTCTCAGATGGAAATGAAGAAATTGTTGGAAACTAGAGCAAAGGTGATTCTTGTTATGTTTTAGCAAAGAGACTGGTGGCATTTTGCCCCTGCCCTAGAGATTTGTGGAACTTTGAACTTGAGAGAGATAATTTAGGCTATCTGGTGGAAGAAATTTCTAAGCAGCAAAGCATTCAAGAGGTGACTTGGGTGCTGTTAAAGGCATTCAGTTTTATAAGAGAGGCAGAGCATAAAAGTTTGAAAAATTTGCAGCCTGACAATGTGATAGAAAATTCAATTTTCTGAGGAGTAATTCAAGACAGCTGAAGAAACTTGCATAAGTAAGGAGGAGCTGAATGTTAATCCCCAAGACAATGTCACTAGGGCATGTCAGCGGTCTTCATGGAAGCCCCTCCCATCACAAGCTTGGAGGCCTAGGAGGAAAAAAATGGTTTTGTGGGCCTGGCCCAGGATCCCTGTACAAGCCTAGGGTCTTGGTGCCCTGTGTCTCAGCTGCTCCAGCTAAAAGGGTCCAACATAGAGCTCAGGCTGTGGCTTGAGAGGATTCAAGCCCCAAGCCTTGGCAGCTTCCACATGATATTGAGCTTGCAAGTGCACAGAAGTCTGGAAATGGGGTTTGGGAACGTCTGCCTAGATTTCAGAGGATGGATGGAAATGCCTGGGTGTCCAGGCAGAAGTTTGCTGCAGAGGTGGGGCCCTCATGGAGAATCTCTGCTAGGGCAGTGCAGAAGGGAAATAGGGGGCTGGAGCCACTACACAAAATCCCCACTGGGACACTGCCTAGTGGAGCTGTGAAAAGAGGCCCACCATCTTCCAGAACCCCAAATGGTAGATCCATAGACAGCTTACACCATGCACCTGGAAAAGCTGCAGACAGTCAACACCAGCCCTTGAAAGCAGCTTGGAGGGAAGCTGTACCCTGCAAAGCCACAGGGGCAGAGCTGCCTAAGATCATGGAACCCATCTCTTGCATCAGCATGAACCAGATGTGAGACATGGAGTGAAAGCAGATCATTTTGGAACTTTAAAATTTGACAGCGATTTTGGACTTGCATGGGGCCTGTAGCTCCTTTGTTTGGGCCAATTTTTCTCATTTGAAACAGGTGAATTTCACCAAAGCCTGTACCCCCATTGTATTTAGGAAGTAACTAACTTGCCTTCGATTATACAGGCTCATAGGTGGAAGAGACTTGCCTTATCTTCGATGAGACTTTGGATTGTGGAATTCTGAGTTAATGCTGAAATGAATTAAGGCCTTGGGGACTGTTGGGAAGGCATTAATGGTTTTGAGATCTAAGGACATGAGATTTCGGAGGGCCCAGGGGTGGAATAATATGGTTTGGCTGTGTTGCTGCCCAAATCTCATCTTGAATTATAGCTCCCATAATTCTCACATATTGTGGGAGGGACCCAGTGGGAGATAATTGAATCATGGGGCCAGGTCTTTACCATGCTATTCTCATGATAGTGAATGAGTCTAATGAGATCTGATGGTTTTATAAAGGGGAGTTTTGCTACACAAGTTCTCTTCTCTTGTTTGCCACCATGTGAAATATGCCTTTCACCTTCCACCATCATTGTGTGGCCTCCCCAGCCATGTGGAACTGTTAGTCTATTAAACCTCTTTATTTTGTATATTGCCCAGTCTTTACATATGTCTTTATCGGCAGCCAGAAAATGGACTCATACAGGTACCAGGCTTAATAACTGGGTGATGAAATAATCTGTACAATAAATTCTCATGGTACAAATTTACTTATGTAACAAACCTGCACATGTACCCCTGAACTATAATAAAAGTTCAAAATAAAGCAAGAAATAATAGACTTTAAGTTAAAAACTATAAGGCAAATGAAAGGTCACTATATACTAATATGAGGTTGAATTCATCAAGAAGATATAATAATAATATATATGCATGGAAAAATATAAAATCTAAATATATAAAGCAAATATTAATAGATCTGAATAGAAAGATAGACTACAATACAAAAATAGAGGATTTCAATACTACCCTTTCAACAATAGACAGAGCAGAGAGAAAATCAAAAAGGAAATACTGGATTTGAACTACACTTTAAACCAAATGGACCTAACAAACATATATATAGCATTTCATTCATCAGTAGCAGAATGTACATTTTTTCAAGTGCATACAGAACACTTGCAGGGTAGATCATAAATAAAGCCACAAAAAATCTTTAAAACTTTAATAAGATTGAGATCATATCAAGTATATTTCTGATCACAATGATTTAAAACTAGAAATTAATAATAAAAGGAATTTTAGAAAATTTACAAATATATGAAAATTAAACATGTATGTAAATAAACAATGGCTCAAAGAAGAAATTAAAAGGAAAGTTTAAAAATATTTTGAGGCAAGTGAAAATTAAAATACAACATACCAAAACACATCAAATGCATCAAAAGCAGCTCTATGAGGGAAGTTTAAAACAATAAACATTTATATCAAAAAAGAAGAAAGACAGCAAATACACAGCCTAGTGTTATTCTGTAAGAAACTAGAAAAAAAAAAAAAAACAACTAGCCCAAAGTTGGTAGAAGAAAGAAAATAGTAAAGATAAGAGCAGTAATAAACACAATGGAGAATGTAAAAACAATAAGAAAGATGAGCAAAGCTGAATTGATTTTATGAAAAGATAAACAAAGTGGACAAACTTTTAGCTAGACTAGCTAAGAATAAAAGAGAGAAGTCTTAAACAAATACAATAAGAAATGAAAAAGGAAACATTACAAGCGTTGCCACAGAAATACAAAGTATCATGAGACTACTATGAACAAATATACACCAACACGTTGAATAATGTAGAAGAAATGGATAAATTCCTATAAACATACAACCTACCAAGACTAAATCAACTTCATAGCAAGAAAACAATATGATTTTTATTTTTTATGTGCAAAGGATGTAAATTGAATTGGCATTTCTCGAAAGAAGAATTGCAAATGGCCAAGAGATATTTGAGAAAAATGATCAGCATCACTAATTATTATGGAAGTGCAAATAAAAGTCACAATGTGTTACCACCTCACATCTGACAGAATGGCTATTATCCAAAAGACAAAAGACAACAAATGATGGCAATGATGCAAAGAAAAGGAAACCCTTGAAAACTGTTAGTAGGGATGTAAATTTGTACAGCCATTGTGGAAAACAGTATAAACATTTCTCAAAATGTTAAAAGTAGAACTAACATGATCCAGCAATTCATTGTCTAAGTAGATATCCAAGGAAATAGTAACACTTTCTCAAAGAGATCCATGTTTATTACATCATTATTCACAATAGTCAAGGTGTGGAATCAACCTAATAAACATAACATGGTGTATATGCACAATGGAATACTGTTCAGCCTTTTGGAAGAAGAAAATCTTGTCATTTGTGAAAATATGTATGAATCTGTCAAACATTATGTTAAGTGAAATAAGCCAGTCACAGAAAGAAAAAGATCATGTTATCTGACTTATATGTGGAATTTAAAATATCAAACTCTTAGAAACAGAGAGTAAAATGGTAGTTAGAAGAAGCTGTAGGGAGCGTTGAGGATTGGGGAGATGTTTGTCAAAGGACATAACATTTCAATTAGGAGAAATAAGTTTGAGACCTATTGTACATAATGGTGACTATACTTAATAACAATATAACATATACTTGGAAATTGCTTAGAGAGTAGATTTTGTGCTCTCGCCTTCCTAAAATGATAGGTAGATGAGGTGTTGCCTCTGATACCTGGATTTTGCCTTTCCACAATGTATACGTATATCAAAACATTATTTTGTAAACCATAAATATATACAATTTTATTTTTCAACTAAAAGTAAACAAAAATATCCATTAAGAATAAAGGCAAAATAAAGACATTCTTAAATGAGGGAAAACTAAGAGAATTTGTTGCCATTAGATCTGTTTAAAAGAAATTCTAGTGAAAGTCCTTCATGCAGAAAAAGAATAACAGAAGAAAAACAGAAATTTAAGAACGAGGAAATATAAACGACATTGGTAAATATAATGTACTATTTTAGATCACTTGAGTTCTTTAAAGTATGTTGGACAATTTAAAGAAAAAAGATATTATTTTACTGGTATGATTTTGAGCTTATCAATGTATGTAGATATGATAAATATGACAAAAATGAACATGAATTCTGCAAAAATTGAAGCAAGAATAAACATCAAATTTGTGGTGAAGTTTGAGTGAAAAAATGATGACATTCATGCTTTACAAAAAATTTATGGGGACAATGCCTCAAAGAAACCAGCAGTTTATGATGAATAACTCATTTTCAGAAGGGATAAAAAAAAGTTGAAGGTGAAGGCCTCAGCAGCAGACTATCCACATCAATTTCCAAAAAACAAATTCATCTTGTTCACACCCTATTTGGAGAGGCCCCACAATTAACACGTGCAATAATAGCCAAAATCATGCACGTAGCCATTAGTTCAGCTTACACAATTCTGGATGAAAAGTTGACGTTGAGCAAATTTGTCACTTGATGGGTGCCAAAACCATTGCACCCAGGTCATCTGCAGATAAGAGCAGAGTTTTCATTGGAAATGTCAAACAATGGGATGAAGATGCTGAAACATGTATTCAAAGACTTGTAACAGGAGATAATACATGGCTTTACCAGTATGATCCCGAAGACAAAGCAGAACGAAAGCAATGGCTATCAAGAGGTAGAAGTGTTCCAGTCAAAGCAAAAGTGGACAGGTCGAGAAAAGGTAATGGCAACAGATTTTTCAGATGGTCAAGGCATTTTGCTTGTTAACTTTCTGGAGGGTCAAAGAATGATAACATTCGCTTATTATGAGAGTGATTTGAGAAAGGTAGCCAAATGTTTAGGAGAAAACCACTGGGGAAAGCTTTACCAGAGAGTTCTCTGTCACAATTCCCATGCTTATTCTCATCAAATAAGGAATCTTTTACGAGAGTTTCAATGGAAAATTATTAGGCATCCATCATACAGTCTTGATTTGGCACCATCTGACTTATTTTTGTTTCCTAATCTTAAAAAACTGTAAAGGGCACACATTTTCTCAGTTAATTATGTAAAGAAAAGCTGCATTGACATGGCTAAATTCCCAGGACCTTTAAGGCAGAATGAATCGACCCAAATCATTGTTTACAAAACTGTTTGGAACTTGATGAAGCTTATATTGAGAAATAAAATTTATACTCTATATTTTTATTTTAAAATATCATTTTCCATGATCTTTTTGAAGTCCCCTTTTGTGCATTTATACATGTATAAATAAATATATGTATATTTGAAGCCTGGAGCAACTGCTAAAGAAAATATGCAAATAAATAGAGTTGCAAAGCCAGTATAAAAATAATACAAATAATCTAAAGATGGAGATACAGAATATGCAAAAATAAAACAAATGATGAAATAATAGGCCTAAGTACAAACATATAAGTAATTACCTAAAATGTAAATGACCTAAGCACACCATTTAAAAGACAAAGATTGTGAGGATTAAAAAACAAAACAAGACTAACAATGTGCTGCCTGCAAGAAACCCACATAAACTACAGTTATTAAAAGGATGAAAAGTGGTATGTCATGCAAACACTAATTAAAAACAACAACCTTGGGATGAGGTATGTTATATAAAAATAAAATTATTTACTCATCAAGGAGGCATATCAGTCCTAAATACACTTTCACCTAACAAGAGAACATCAGAATCCATGAAATAAAAGCAAACAAAATTAAAGGAAAACTAGACACATCCACAATTATACTTAGAAATTTTAACAACCACTTCTTAGTTATCAGTAATAACAGCAGATAGAAAATCAGCAAGACTATAGAATACCTCAACAACACTATCAGTCAACATAACATAATTGATATTATAGAGCATACTACTTAACAACAGAAAATCCTCTTTACAAGTGCACATAGAATATATGCAAAGATGTATCATATTCTGAGTCACATAACAAAACTTATAAATTTTATAATAATTAAAGTCACAAATAGTATGTTCCCTGAACACAGTGGAGTTAAGTCAGAGATTTAGAAAGTTATTTGGAAAATACCCACATATTGGTAAATTAAAAACAATTGCACTTCTAAATTAAATAACACATTGATCAAAAAGGAAGTATTTTAATGAGCACAGGATTTTATTTTGGAATGATGTAAATGCTTTGAAACAAAATAAAGTAAGTAATTACACATCATTGGAGTATTACTAAATGTAATTGATTTTGGCACTTTAAAATTGTTAATGGGTTTTTACTTCAATTTTTTAAAGTTTAATTTTAAAGGAAGTGAAAATATTAGAAGACATTTTTAATAAATTAAAATAAAAATTAAATTACAATTATTTGACAATATTAGAAAATAATAAAGTTCTCAAATCAATAATTTAAAATTTATGTCTTAACAAACTAGAAAAGAGAGAATAAACTGATCCAAACTAAGAAGAAGAAAGAATATAATAAAGGTAAAAGTAGAATTCAATCCAAAAGTTATTTCTTTAAAAAGATCCAGGCCGGGTGCGGTGGCTCACACCTGTAATCCCAACACTTTGGGAGGCCAAGAAGGGTGGATCACGAGGTTAGGAGATGGAGACCTTCCTGGCCAACATGGTGAAACCCCGTCTCTACTAAAAATAGAAATATTAGCTGGGTGTGGTGGCATGCGCCTGTATTCCCAGCTACTCGGGAGGCTGAGGCAGGAGAATTGCTTGAACCTGGTAGGCAGAGATCACACTAAGCTGAGATAGTGCCACTGCACTTCAGCCTGGAGACAGAGTGAGACTCCATCTAAAAAAAAAAAGAATCCATAAAATAGAAAATATTAAGACTAACCAAGAAAAAAATATAGTGTAAGAAACTAGGCCCTGTATTGATAAATATAGACACACACACACACACACACACACACACATATTTATATATATATATTAGTTAAATGTGGTAATTCACACCTATAGTCTCATCTACTTGGAAGGCTTGGGCAGGAGAATCACTTGAGCCTAGGAGTTCAAGATACAGTGAGCTATGACTGCACTCCTGCACGCCAGGGTGGGTTACAAAGAAAGACCTCATATCTAAAAAAAAAAAAAAAAAGAAAAAGAAAGAATGAAAGAGGGAATATCACAACAGGCAACAGACCTTACATACATAAAAAGAATAAGAAATTATATGAAAAATTTGTAAATGAATTTTAAAACTTTTATGAAAAGGAGACATTTCTTGAAATGCACAAACCATCAAAGCTCATGCAAGGAGAAATAGATAAATCTGATAGTTGTGAAACTATTTTAAAAGTTAAATTTATATTTAGAAACCTTCCAGAACATTTAACTGCAGACCCAGATGGCTTCACTGACAAATTTTACCCACTCTTTAAGGAAGAAATAGCATGTATTCTGCATAGTTTCTTTCAGCAAATAAGAGAGGGAACCCTTTCCAACTCATTTAAGAGAAAAAAAAGATACCATTTTTGCATATCCAGATTAAAAAATTACAATTCAAATAATGCAAATGAATAAACCTCATAAACATAGGTGCAAAAATCTTCAAAAAATAGGAAATCAAATTTAGCAAAATATAAAGAAAATGACACACCAAGTCAAAGTGGGATTTATCTTAGGCATAGAAGTCTAGTTCAATATTTGAGAATAAATCAATGCAATACACAATATCAACAAACTAAGTGTAAAAATTATATAATTATGTCAAATGATGTAGAAAAGAACATTTTAAAAAATTCAACATCTATTCATGCTAAAAATGCAACAAGCCAGGAATACAAGAAAACTTATTCAACGTCATTAAGGGCATTTACAAAAATTGTGCATCATACTTTATGTGGGAGGCTGAATGTTTTCTTGCTAAGATTCAGAACAAGGCAAAGTACTCCACTCCCATAATTTCTATTCAACCGAGTCCTGGAAGCCCTAGGTAGTGCAATAAAACACAAAAGAGAAGTGAAAGGCTTACATCTTGGAAAAAAAGAAGTAAAATTGTTCCTAATCAGCTCCTAAAACTAACAGGTGCATTTAGAAAGAACACAAAATACAAGCTGAATGCATAAAAATCAATCTTATTTCTATGTAATAGAAACAAAAATTAGATATCCTAATCTAAAACACAGTATCATTTATGATTATGCCACGAAGTACTTTGGTATAAATATAAAAAAAGTGATTAATCTGTATTTATAAAACCATGAAATAAGTCAACTAGTACCTAAATAAATAGATCTATATTCATGGAAGAAATACTCAATATAGTTAAGGTGTTGAACCCTCCGAAATTATCTACAAATTTACTAAAATCTCACAATTCTAGTGAAAGTTATTTTTAGATATAGAGAAACTGATTTTAAAACTTAGATGGATAGGCAAAGGAACTAGAATAGAATTGGAAAGAAAAGCAATTTGGAAAAACTAGTAAAAAGTTGGAAGACTCATAGTACCTGATTTAAGACATACCATTAAGGTACAGTAATCAAGATTGTGTTGTTTTGTAAAAAGATAGAAATGTGGATCAATAAGACAGGACAGAGAGTCAAGTAATAGGCCCACAAAAATATACTCGATTGGGTTTGACAAAGATGCAAAGGCAGCTTGATAAAACAAGAGAATTCTTTGAAAACAATTTCTAGAATAATTGGACATCCATATGAAGAATATATTTAGACACATACCTTATACCTCATAAAAAGTATCTAAAAATTGATTGCAGACTTAAAATCATAAAACTGTAAAAGTCATAGGATAAAACATAGAGAATATATTCTTATACTTGAGATAGAAAAATAGTTCTTAGATGTGACATAAACAAATACAATTTATAAAACTAAACAATGGATGATTTGGACCTCATCAAAATGTAAAAGTTTTTCTCTGCAAAAGACATTGTTAAGAGAATTACATGCACCATCCCAAGACTGAACCAGGAAGAACTTGAATCCGTGAATAGAGCAATAACTAGTTCTGAAATTCAGGCAGTGTTAAATAGCCTACCAACCAAAAATATTCCAGGACCAGACGGATTAACAACTGAATTCTACCAGAGGTACAAAGAAGAGCTGGTACCATTTCTACTGAAACTATTCCAAACAATTGAAAAGGAGAGGCTCCTCCCTAACTCATTGTATGAGGCCAGCATTATACTGATACCAAAACCTGGCAGAGATACAACAAAAAAAGAAAACTTCAGGCCAATATCCCAGTTGAACATCGATGCAAAAATCCTCAATAAATTACTGGCAAACCAAATCCAGCAGCACATCAAAATGCTTATCCTCCACAATCACTTTGGCTTCATCCCTGGGATGCAAGGCTGGTTTAGCATACACACATCAATAAATGTAATTCCTCACATAAAAAAATAAAGACAAAAAACACATGATTATCTCAATAGAAGCAGAAAAGCCTTTGCAAAAATTCAATATCCCATCATGTTAAAAACTCTCAATAAATTAGGTATTGAAGGAACGCACCTCAAAAATAATAAGAGCCATATATGACAAACCCACAGTCAATAGGATACCTAATGGGCAAAAGCTGGAGGCATTCCTCTTGAAAACTGGCACAAGACAAAGATGCCCTCTCCCACCACTCCTATTCAACATAGTATTGGAAGTTCTGGCCAGGGAAATCAGGCAAGAGAAAGAAATAAAGGGTATTCGAATAGGAAGATAGGAAGTCAAATTATCTTTGTTTGAAAATGACATAATCCTATATCTAGAAAACTTCATTGTTTCAGCCCCAAGGCTTCTTTTTTTATTTTTATTTTTACTTTTTATTTTTATTTTTAGAGATGGAGTCTCGCTCTGTCGCCCAGGCTGGAGTGCAGTGGCACAATCTCGGCTCACTGCAAGCTCCGCCTCCCAGGTTCATGCCATTCTCCTGCCTCAGTCTCCCGAGTAGCTAGGATTATAGGCGCCTGCCACCACGCCCAGCTGATTTTTTGTATTTTTAGTAGAGATGGGGTTTCACTGTGTTAGCCAGGATGGTCTGGATCTCCTGACCTTGTGATCCGCCCGCCTCGGCCTCCCAAAGTGCTGGGATTATAGGTGTGAGCCACCGCACCCGGCCGCCCCAAAGCTTCTTAAGCTGATAAGCAACTTCAGCAAAGTCTCAAGATACAAAAATCAATGTACAAAAAATCGCTAACATTCCTATACACAAACAACAGGCAAGCAGAGAGCCAAATCTTGAATGCACTCCGATTCACAATTGCTACAAGAAGAACAAAATATTTAGGAATACGTCCAACAAAGAAAGTGAAGAATCTCTTTAAGGAGAACTACACACCACTGCTCAAAGCAATCAGAGATGACACAAACAAATGAAAACGTATTCCATGCTCATGGATAGGAAGAATCAATATCATGAAAATGGCCATGCTGCCCAAAGTAATTTATAGATTCAATGCTATTCCACTAAATTACCATTGACATTCTTCATAGAATTAGAAAAAAAAAAACTATTTTGAAATGTATATGGAACCAAAAAGAGCCTGAATAGCCAAGACAATCCTCAGCAAAAAGAACAAATCTGGAGGTATCACACTACCTGATTTCAAAATATACTACAGGGACACAGTAAGAAAAACAGCATGGTACTGGCACAAAAGCAAGCACACATACACCAATGGAACAGAGTAGAGAACTCAGAAATAAGACCACACACCCACACTCATCTGATTTTCGATAAATATGAAAAAATCAAGAAATGGGGAAAGGATTCCCTATTTAATAAATGATGCTGGGAAAACTGGCTAGCCATATGCAGAAAATTGAAACTGGACCCCTTCTTTACACTGTATTCAAAAATCAACTCAAGATGGATTAAAGACTTAAATGTAAAACCCTAAACTATAGAAGAAAATGTAGGCAATACCATTCAGGACATAGGCACAGGCAAAGATTTCATGATGAAAACACCAAAAGCAATTGCAGCAAAAGCAAAAATTGACAAATGGGATCTAGTTAAACTAAAGAGCTTCTGCAGAACAAAAGAAACTATCATCAGAGTGAACAGACAACCTACAGAAAGGGAGAAATTTTTTGCAATCTATCCATTTGACAAAAGTCTAACATTCAGAATCTACAAGGAACTTAAGCACATTTACTAGAGAAAAACAAAATTAAAACACATTAAAAAGTGGACACAGGACTTGAACAGACACTTCTCAAAAGAAGACATTCATGTATCCAACAACATGAAAAAAAGCTCAACATCACTGATCATTAGAGAAATCCAAATCCAAACCACAGTGAGATACCATCTCATGCTAGTCAGAAAGGCGATTAATAAAAAGTCCAGAAACAACAGATGGTGGCAAGGTTGCAAAGAAAAAGGAATGCTTTTACACTGTTGATTGGAGTGTAAATTAGTTCAACCATTGTGTACGACAGTGTGGTGATTCCTCAAAGACCTAGAAGCAGAAATACCATTTGACCCAGCAAACCCATCACTGGATATATACCCAAAGGAGTATAAATCATTCTGTTATAAAGATACATGCCTATGTATTCTCACTGCAACACTATTTACAATAGTAAAGACACTGAATCAGTCTTAATTCCCATCAATGATAGACTGGATTAAGAAAATGTGGTACACAAACACCATGGAATAGTATGCAGCCAGAAAAATGAATGAGATCATGTCCTTTGCAGGGACATGGATGGAACTGGAAGAAATTTTCCTCAGCAAACTAACGCAGGAACAGAAAACCAAACACTGCATGTTCTTACTTATAAATGGGAGCTGAATGATGAGAACAGAAAGACACATCGTGGGGAACAACACACACTGGGACCTGTCGGGGTCCACAATGGCACACATTTACCTATGTAACAAGCCTCCACATCCTGCACATGTACCTCGGAAATTAAAATTAAAGTTAGAGAAAAAAAAGACAATGAAAAAAGCAAAGTACCGAATTAAAAAAAAATGGAAAATCACATAGCCTTCAAAAAACTTTTCAGAATATTTTCAAAACTCTCAATTCTCAGCAATAACAAAACCAGTGAGTCAATTTAAACATGGGCAAAATATATGAGCAGACGCTTAACCAAAAATAAATACACATGGCAAATAAATACATAAAAAGATACACAATGGCATTAGATTAAAAACATAATGAGATACCACTACATACCTATTAGAATTGGTGAAATTTACAAAAATAATTAACAATCACCAGTGCTAACAAACATGCAAAGTTACAGGAATGTTTATACATTGGTGGGCAGAATATAAAAGGGTACAGTTCCTCTGATAAACAATTTCAAAATTTCATATATATTTGAAGATACACTTAGTGTATAACCAAGCAATCCCACTTCTAGGTCTCTACCCTAGAAAATGAAAACTTACATCTATACAAATGTTTGTACATGAATGTTTGTAGCAGAATTTTTATAATTGCCCCAAATTAAAAACAATTTAAATACTGTGTACATAAATGTATATAACAATTTTATTCATAACTTCCAAAAACTGAAAATAAGTAAGAAATCCTTCAACAATTTAATTCATGGACAAATTGTGGTACATCCACGCAATGGAATACTATGTAGTCACAAAAAGAATTAACTCTTAATACATTCCATGACATGGATAAATTATGCACTACCATGAATAAAAGAAGCTTCTTTCAAAATATTACATAAGATTTCATTTCTTTAACATTCTGGAAAATATTTAAAAATATACATAGGAATGGAAAACAGAGTAGGGCTTATCAGATATTAGGGACAGAGGAAGGGTTTGACCTCAGAGGGATAGCATAAGCAGATTTTTTAGGGTGAATGAAATTATTCTGTGTCATTTTTGTCATTTGTCATTACACATATGCATGCAAGTACTAAAACTCATATAACTTTACATTGAAATTATACAATGTATTGCATATAAATGTTTGAAAAAATTTAAAAAACTAAGTGCAAAAGAAGCCACTGTGTATTGTATTCATTCTATTGATTTTGGCTGTCTAGGCAATTTGGGCAAATCATTCTAACTGTGAACACCTAAAAATCTTAGACAGAATTTAAAAACTATCACTTAAAATAACTGGGGGAGGATATAACAAGGCAGTGAGAAACTACAGTGCCAAGATGTGAAAGCAGAAAAAAAATCAGAAAAGTGAAACAAGTTTTGGAGCCTATTTTTTCCCCTAAGAGAAATTGCTGAGTCTTAAGAGGCTGTGAAGAAGCTGGAAAGCTGACCCATACTTCTCTAAAAATTTCACATTGATTTGGATTGGGATGCAAAAGAGCTCAACTGTAGGAGAAGAGTGAATAGAAATTTGATTAGATATTTATGTGACTAAAGCTTATCTTTGACTCTTTTTTGATCCTTTTAATTATATTAGTCTGGTTTGCTAGTGTCCCTAGCCTCTTCCAATCAATTCTAATCAGTCATATGAAAACAGAAGATGACATGACAAAACATTAAGTGAAATAACAATTAATAGAAACAGTCACAGAGGGCATCCAAGTAACAGAATTATGAGAGAGAAACTTTAATATAATTATGTTCAATATGCTCAAGGAAACTAAAAACAAATTTTAAATTTTAGCAAAGAACCAGAAAATATACAAATAAAAATAGTAAAACCAAAAATAATTAAAAAGGTAAAAAGCTCAGTTGATTTGTTTTGAAAACAGATAAAGCTGAAAGAGTATACCTACCAGTTTAGAATCTAAATCCATATATTATAACCTACAAGAATATCTTTAAAAAAGGATAATTGTATATTTTCACTTATAAGTGTGAGCTAAATATTGGGTACACACAGACATAAAATGAGAAAAATAGACACTGGGGGCAACTAGTGTGGGGAGAGAGGATGGGGGAAAGAGTTGAAAAACTACCTACTAGGTATTATGTTTACTACCTGGGTGACAGGATCAATTGTATCCCAAACCTCAACATCACTGAATACACTGATGTAACAAACCTGCACATGTACCCCAAATTTAAAATAAAATATGAAAAAATGCAAAGTAGGTTGCATATTAAAATAAAGAGTAATAAATTTTATAAATTACAAACAGAAAATTCTTCATCCACAGATATGAATGAGAGGAAATGATAAAATATGTTTATGTTCATCAGGTAGAAGAAACATTATAATATGGTTTGGATCTGTGATTCTTATTCAGAATAAGAGAAAAATATCAATTAGCATTAACCTTTAAAAATCAAGTTTGAGTGTTAGTATTTTTAGAGTAAACATTATAATACGAGGAAAAAGTGTTTAACTATCAAGCTTTTAGAAGAAGAGTGGGATGATAGCAAAAAACATCATTCCAAAGGCAATAAATAAGAAGCAAATGAACATAAGTCATGCAGTTAAAATTAAAAGCAAAGAGTAAAATGTTATATTTAAGTACCAATACAGGAGGTCCCTCTTATCTGTGGTTATCCACTGTCAACTGCAATCCAAACATGTTAAATAGGAAATTCCAGAAATAAAGAGTTCATATGTTTTAAACTGTGTACCATTCTGAGTAACATGATGAAATTTTATGCCATCTCACTCTATCCCATCTGGGACCTGAATCATCCCTTTTTCTGGTATATCTACGGTTTAAGCTGTTTGTTACTTTGTAGACATCACCATTTATCAAATTGAATATGGCAGTAATGCTATGCTTGTGTTTCCTTGAACAAAGCATACGGACCCTAAGAATAAGAGTAGTGATGCTGGTTGTTTGGATATGACAAGGAGAAGCCATACAGTGCTTCCTTTAATGGAAAGATGAACATTCTCAAGTTAGTAAGAAAAAGAAAAGAAATCCTATGCTAAGTTTACTAAGATTTACATAAGGATAAATCTTCCATTTGTGTAATAGTAAAGATGAAAAAAGAAATTTATGCTAGTTCTTCTATTGCACCTCAAACTGGAAATATTACAACTACAGCACAATAGTTTATTTTGTGTTTTAATATTAAGCATGTAATATCATTTTAAAAACATAGAAATCATACAGCATATGCTGTTTGATCACAGTACAATTAAACTAGAAATCAGTAACAAAGTGACTGTGAATAAAAGCCCATATTTTTATATTACAAAAATAGTCTACTAAATAGCTCATTGATCAAAGAAGAAATGACATAAAATTTTAAATATTTTAAACTGAATTTACTGAAAATACTAAGTACAGAAGTTGTAGAAGGCATCGAAGTTCATACATAGAGGATAATTTGTAGTATTAACAGATATTATAATAAAAAGACTGAAATCAATGAGATAATACATTTCAAATAATAGACAAAAACAGCAAATTAAACCTAAGAAAGCAGAAGGGAGGAATCATAAAGGTAATAATGGAAACTATTGCAATATAAAACAAGCACATAGAGATCATCCAACCCAAATTTTCCCTTTTTGAAAAGACTAAAGTTAATAAATTTCTCAACAAAGACAGAAAATATTTAATCAAGAGTGTCAGAAAAAAAGGTACATCATTAGAGATTCAACAGATATTTAAATATAAGAGAATATTATGAGAAATCTTCATGTTAATAAATTTGTAAATTAATTAAAAAATGAGAAATTCATAGAGAAATGCAGTTTATCAAATGTGACTTAACAAAAAGAAACTTGAATATTTCTATATTTAATGAAGAAATTAAATATGTAAGTAAAATGCTTTCTACAAAAAAAATCTAGCTTCAGGTTGTTTGACCAGTGAATTCCATTAAGTATAAGAAGAGGGCATCAGATAAATATTACACAAAATTTTCCAGAAAACAGAAAAAAATAAAATATTTTCCAAATAGTTTTAGGAGGTCAGCATACTATTTTGTCCAGAGCATCACAAAACCATTATCATTGAATTAAAATACAGACAATACTCTCTCATACACATAGATGAAAAGAAGCCCTAAACAAATTGTTTGCATATGGATCAATCAATATGAAACCTATTGCAATATTGGTAAAAATCTAGAAATTGCATGGCTGGCCTAATCTTTGTAATGTAATGTAACAAATCATTTAAAAATTAATAGGGAAAATTAAGCAATAATCTCAATAGATGTAAAAAATATTTGATAGCATTAAACATCAATTCATAAAAAATGCTTAGTGAACTAAGATGAAAAGGGAACTTTGTTAATGTAAGTGATGTTTACAAAAATTCTACAGCAACACCTCACAAAATGTTGATCTATTGTAAGCTTTCCGCTGACATTGAACAAGAATCACTCCTACTACTTTACATCAATATTTTACTAGAGATCCTAGCCAGTGTAACAAGACTAAACAAAAAAATGAAAGTTAGGAACATTGTATCACAGTAACAAATCTATAAATGTTAAAATATATCATGATTGAATATGGGGAAAAAAGAATCTTCAGGTAAATTATGAAAAGTAATGTGAGTACCAAAGTTGCTGAATATATCTATCTATGCATTATTTCTATATATTAGTGGAAAGCATTTAGAAAAATGGATAAAGGATACTATTTCCAATAGAAATAAAAGCCATGAAATATCTAGAAATTACTAAAAGGGGTGTAATACTTTCACATTAAAAACTACAAAACATTTGAAAGGGATTTAAGAGCATATAAATAATGAATAGATGTATCATGTTCATTATTTGTAAATGAGACAGTTAGGAGTGTCAGCTCTTTGGAAGTTAAGAAATAAGCTGGAGGAATTACCCAACAGATATGAAGACTTACAATAAACGTACATAAATTAATATAAATACACCAGTTAAGAGAATAGAGTCCTGTATAGTGTGCTAGGAATGCCATAGAAAAAGACACGCTGTGTGGCTTCAACAATGGACATTTATTTTCTCACAGTTCTGGGGGCTGGAAGTCCAAGATCAAGATGTCAGCAGTTTTTTTTTTTTTCCCCTGAGGCCTCTCTGGATTGCAGATGGCCTTTTTGCTGTGTTCTCACATGGCGTTTTCTCTGTGTGTGTGCACTGCTGATGTGTCTCCTACTTTTTATAAGGACACGGATACTTTATAATATCCTAAATGTCTATCATCAGGTGAATGGATAAATAAATTATAATATATCATAACAAGAACAATACTTAGCAATAAATGAAGAAATAAACTACTGATACATGCAAGAACACGGATGAATTTTACAGCTGTAGTAATGAAAGAAACAAGCTAGACACCAAACAGTGCATACTGCATGATTCTGACACGAGAGTGCTGGGAAGGGAAGAGCATAGTCCCTTTAAATGACACAGACGGCGGGAAGGGAAGTGCCAGGTAGAGAAAGGCAGGTCACTGCCTAGGGCTCCAGCCCCACGGACCTAGGTGAGGACAGGCATTTCCTGCCGAAATGTTGCATTTCCCAAGACCACCCTGGCCTGCCATGCCCCCATCCTGAGCCTATAAAAACCGGAGACTCTAGTGGGCAGACACAAGTGACCAGATGTTGAGAGGAGCACATCAGTGGAAGAAGACGCAAGTGGCTGGTAGTCAAGAGGACGTCAAGAGGAGCACTCTGGCAGAAGAGCGCTCTGACAGGCACCTGCTCGCCAGCAGGCAGGCCATTGACGGGTTGGACAAGGGTGAGTTTGGCCGGGGCAGTCGGAGGAGAGCCGGGGCCACCAAGTGGCCCAACTCCATGGGAAAACCATCTTCTTTCTGGCTCCCCCATCAGCGGAGAGCTACTTCCACTCAATAAAACTTCGCACTAATTCTCCAAGCCCCTGTGTGATCCAATTATTCCGGTACACCAAGGCAAGAAACCTCAGGACACAGAAACCTTCTGTCCTTGTGATAAGGAAGGGGGTCTAATTCAGCTGGTTAACACAAGCTACCCATAGATGGCAAACTAAAACAGCAACCTCTAACACACGCCCACTGGGGCTTCAGGAACTGTAAACATTCACCCCTAGACACTGCTGTGGGGTTGGAACCCCACGGCCTGCCCATCTGTGTGCTCCCCTAGAGGTTTGAAAAGCAGGGTACTGAAGAAGCAAGCCACACCCCCATTGCACACCCTGCGTGGAGGACAAGGGAACCTTTCCCATTTCAATTCCATGTATATTTATTTCAGAAATAGATGAAGCACTCCTTGTTGAAAACAATCAAAATCTTGCTTCTGAGAAAGACGTATTTACTCACCTTGGATACAGGAATTTTCTTGTTTCATAATATGAACATTTAATTTCAGTGATATATAGAGTGTTGAGTTTATTTGTATTTGATATATTTGTATTTAGTGTATTGTATTTGGTATATACATTTGTCAAGACTTAACTGTACATTTAAATTTATGCATTTTGTTGTATGAAAATTATACTTTAGTAAAATACTTATAAATATTATCAGAAAAAAAGACTTGTGAGTAATCAACTGGATTTGCCTAGATATTTCACTTTTTAAAACAAATAATAATCATAATTTTAATTTCTTAGTGTATTTTTATGTATCAGAGAGTGTTTACTTCACATATATAAATTAATTTGATCCTCATATCTAACCTATGAAATAAATATTAGTATCAACATTTTACATATTAGAAAACTAAGGCACAACTTTAAGTAACTTTTTCAAAGTTGCATAACAAGTGAGTGAAAGAGCTGAGATTCAAATCCAGGCAGACTGGCTCCAAAGTCCATGTTCTTAATAATTGTCTTAAAATTAGTTACTTTAAGCAGAACTATCATACATAATATGAACATTTAAAGCTTCCTACTTATGTAATTACATTTTAAAAGCAATCATACTATATCTGCTGGCTTTATAAAGTATTAACTTTGCCATATACTACAACTATTTCAACAAAAATTTTTGGCATCAACATTACAAAGACACAGTCAGCTCCAATTTGGAGGTACAGTCATACTATTTCTTTCAACAAAATGATTTCTTTTTAACATTTTAAATAAAATTAAATCCAATGAAGACAGATGCCAAAAAAAAAGACTTCTATGCATCAAGATAATAGCAAAGTTCATCAATAAAACAATCTGCAAATCTCCCATTGAAGGGGCAAATAGCTTAAGTAGTCATTGCATAAACTCCTTATGCTTATATCAATTACAAATGTTAACTAATGTTATCAATACGAATGTAAATTTTTTCTTCTATTGGTCTGTTAATAATTTTACTGAAAACAAAATTAGACAAAAATGTGATAAATATTATAAAATGTTTCATTTGAATTTGTTTGACAAACATAGTAAGATTTTCATTGCATAAAATAGCACAGGAAAGACAGAACACTTGTTGATTAAGAGAAATTTTCAGGTTTTATTTTCTCAATTTAGCCTTAAACAAAGTTTTTGAGAATATGTACATAATAAATTTTCTTTATATTTTAATTCATTTGTCTGTTCAACAAGTATTTATTGATTATCCATTAACTATTAGGTGGTACTAAATAAAACTGTCAATTTGTAGATTAAAAATATTCAGATATTAGCAATTTTTTCTGGTGCAACCTAATACATAGTATTAAGCTAGGTACTAAGTATGATTCAGATTGAAGAATACAGTACATTTTTTTCTGGCCTCATTGGGTGATTCGAGGCTTTCATCACTACATAAGTGAGATAACAAGCCATAGTAATTTGTACTAAAGAGCCAAAATACTATGGGATTTTAGAAAAGGAGAAAATTAATATGGTCTGGAATGCATAGACAGATGGAATTTAACACTTCAATACATTTCTGTTGATGCAGCTAAATAGTCATTTGAAAATATGATGCATCTGTGAAATGTATGGATACTACTCTACATGATTTTTAAATTTTGGACAGGTTTTTTTTGACTTTTAAGTTCAGGAGTACAAGCACAGGTTTGTTACATTGGTAAACTTGTGTCAGGGGGTTTGTTGTACAAATTGTCATCACCCAGGTGTCTGGTACCCAGTAGTTATTTTTTTCTGATCATCTCCCTCCTCCAACCCTCCACCCTCTGAAAGGCCCCAGTGTGTGATGTTCCCATCTATATATCCATGTGTTCTCATCATTTAGCTCCCACTTATAAGTGAGATCATGTGGAATTGGGTTTTCTGTTCCTCTGTGAGTTTGCTAAGGATAATGGCCTCCTGCTCCAACCACGTCTCTGTAAACAACATAATCTTATTTTTTATGGCTGTATAATATTCCGTGGTGTACATGCACCACATTTTCTTTACCCAGTCTTTCACTGATGGGCATTTAGGTTGATTCCATGTCTTTGCTATTGTGAATAGTGCTGCAACGAACATAAGCATGCATGTGTCTGTATAATAGAACAGTTTGTATTCCTTTGGGTATATACCCAGTAATGGGATTGCTGGATAGTATAGCATTTCTGTCTTTAAGTCTTTGAGGAATTGCCACACTGTCTTCCACAATGGTTGAACTAATTTACACTACCATCAACAGTGTATAAGCGTTCCTTTTTCTGTGTAACCTCACCAGCATCTGTTATTTTTTTACTTTTTAATAATAGCCATTCTGACTAGTGTGAGATGGTATCTCATGGTTTTTATTTGCATTTCTCTAATGATCAGTGATGATGAGCTTTTTTTCATATTATTGTTGGCCTCATGTACGTCTTATTTAGAAAGGTGTGTGTTCGTTTCCTTTGTCCACTTCTTAATGGGGTTGTTTGTTTTTTATTCTTATAAATTTCTTTAAGTTTCTTATAGATTCTGGATATTAGACCTTTGTTGGATGCATAGTTTGCAAAAATTTTCTCCCATTCTGTAGGTTTTCTGTTTACTCTGTTGATAGTTTATTCTGCTGTGCAGAAGGATTTTAGTTTAATTAGATCACATATGTTAATTTTTGCTTTTGTTGCAATTGTTTTTGTGTCTTCATCATGAAATCTCTGCCGGTGCTCAATGGATGCAGAAAAGGCTTTCAATAAAATTTAACATCCATTCGTGTTAACAACTCTATATTATTGTAATCTTAACACTGGAAACATCTGTAGATTTATTGTCCTTTTTTTCCTGTGGTCATATAGCTATTTAATACTATAATCAAAATGAATACATTATTTGCATTATTATTATTTTCCACTGGGTTCAAAACGAATTATGAAACAACACAGCATTTATAAGACTATCTTTGTACTCCCCAGAATTTTGTATCACAGCACCTAGCAATGTTTGGGTTACTAAATAAATAGTTACTGATCTGAAATAAAATGTCATGATCATATAATTGTAGAAAAATCCCCTCATGGCTTCAATAGTAATGCCTCATTTTATAAATGAAAGGAGATATGCCAAATTGATGAAACAGAGAAATGCACATTTTCTTTATTGTGCAATATATTTTGATATTTATGCAGGACCCCTAAAGCTCAACCTACAAATCATAATCAAGATGTAATAAGCTGCAATATTATTAATAGTTAACTTCTGACAAGAAACAAGATTATTTCATTAGAAAAATAAAAACTTTTTTGAAAGTTTTTTCCATTGATGGACATTAGAAAGTATATTTTTGAAAAAAAATAGAAAACTTTAAAGTAAAATTTTTCCATCATGAAAAACAAAATGTTATTGTTATACTGGTGACTCCAGCTTTGAAGTAAGCAAAGGATGGCAGAGAACACAAGCTCAATGGAATTCTGATGTTAGAGGATTAAGATAAGTTACTATTATTACTAGTTTCCATGGTAGTATATTACTGAAATGTATTTTTAAGAAGTTCTGAAAATCATTTTATCCACAGCTAGCCAGGAGACAAATAATCTGCAAACTCACTCAAATTTGGCTATAGTTAGAAAATTAATTTCAACTTCTTCCAAAGGAACTGTGTACAGGAAAGCATGCTTCAAACTTACTATTTCATTGGAGCCCAGGGGCTTTCCCTAAAAATTTGGGGGACAGATACTTCTTAATATATTAAAAAACACTTTTTTCTATTCATTGCAACTAGCTACCTGTATGTATTATCAGTTCTACCTGTCATTTTTCTTATTTTTAATTTTATGCAATTACACTGACACTATAATATTATCTATGGGTTCAACATAAGACTATTAAGACAGTTCTGTGTATAAGTCATCTAAACAGATGCCTGTCATCTGTTCTAGTTTGAAAGGCATGCAAAAAAGAATATTCAGAATTCACCTTTGGAACCCCATTCCAGTGTCTAATCACCCTTTATAGACACATTTTTCATGACTCCCTGTACTCAAAGTCAAAACAGAGCTTTAGTGTCTTCCTTCACCATAAAATGAATCCTGTGACAAGTTTCCAACCAAAGATTTTAATCATTAAATCCACACTATACCTGGAGCCTTACAATTTTCTTACAGATTAATTTCAACGTTGTTTTACAACAAGCATCATATCATTATATTAGGTTGAAAACTAGATTAATTAGGCAAATAAAACACTAGAGTCCCCAGATTTTTCTGTATAACCTGTAGATAAAAAGTGTTCTGAGGCTGGGCACAGTGGCTCACTCCTGTAATCCCAGCAATTTGGGAGGCCAAGGTGGGCAGATCACCTAAGGTCAGGAGTTCAAGACCAGCCTGGCCAACATGGCAAACCCTGTCTCTACTAAAAATACAAAAACTAGGTGGCGTGCGGTGGCTCACACCTGTAATCCTAGCACTTTGGGAGGCTGAGGTGGGTGGATCACGAGGTCAGGAGTTCAAGACCAGCCTGGCCAACACGGTGAAACCCTGTCTCTACTAAAAATACAAAAATTAGCCGGGTGTGGTGGCCCGTGCCTATAACCCCAGCTACTCAGGAGGCTGAGGCAGGAGGATCGCTTGAACCTGGGAGGCAGAGGTTGCAGTGAGCCAAGATTGGCCCACTGCACTGCACTCCATCCTGGGCAACAGAGTGAGACTGTCTCGAATATATATACATATATTTTGGTGTACCCACTCTTCCACTATGCAGATGATAAAACATTTGGTCTACTCTACAACTGCTGTACACTGTTAAATGCTATAGTCTACTTCATAGCTTATATATTCCACTGAACTTTTCGCTTAAGACTCCAATAAATCTCCAGAATAAATCTCAAGGGAGGAGCCACTTAAAACAGACTAAGGCTTTCTAACCATCCTAAGGACAAACTCTTTTTTTTTTTTTTTGAGACGGAGTCTTGCTCTGTCACCCAGGCTAGAGTGCAGTGGTGGGACTTGGCTCACTGCAACCTCCGCCTCCCGGGTTCACACCATTCTCCTGCCTTAGCCTCCCGAGTAGCTGGGACTATAGGCACCCGCCACCACGCCCGGCTAATTTTTGTATTTTTATTAGAGACGGGGTTTCACTATATTGGTCAGGCTGGTCTCGAACTCCTGAACTCTTGATCCACCCGCCTCGGCCTCCCAAAGTGCTGGGATTACAGGCGTGAGCCACAGTGCCCGGCCAGGACAAACTCTTAATGCCATGAGCAGTTCACAGGAAATCCTAAATTGCAGAATTAATCTAGCAGTAGGGAAATGTGGGACCTTACTCTGGTCCATGACCACGCTGGAAAAACTCAGCAGAGGATTGTGTCATTGCCAAGTAAATTTGAATGCTCAAGGAAGACATTAGAACTAATTCGTCCAGCTGGAATATCTTTGCACATTATCTAAGCAGACATATAGAATACCTTGGGACCTAGATAATTGTTTCAGATCAGTTCATCTTTTGACCCATAACCTCCAGAGCTTGTATTAAGGTTTGGCTTGGATTGATAAAGCTCAGCATGAAATCAAATAACTGGTAAGGAGTATAAAATCTATGTTAATATTTTAATCTTAAAATAACTAATACATTTCTTCAACAGCCCTGAGTTCTAGAAAAGAACCAGAATTGTTAACAGAATAGTAAGTACCTTGAGGAAAGAATGATCAAATAGCTCTTATGTTCCATCACTTTATTAAGTTAAAAAATATATATGTGTAACATCTTTATCTGTTTTAAAATGTTACGACAGTATTAAAGTAGGTAGTTAGATACACATAAGCAAGACAGAAGAGGGCCCCCCAGGAATGTCAGTCAACCATTAGATAATGGTCAGGCAGTTGTTAAACTGTCTCTCTAAAATAATAATTGGTCACAGCCGGCGCCAAGGAAAGGCAAGCTCCTAATAGAAAACACCTGAAGCTGCTGATTAGCAGCCTCCTGATAAAATCTCAGGAACTGTGCAAGTGAGCTCAAGCACAGCACTAAGACGCAAAATGGCAGAGTTTAACTGGTATGTGACCTTCCTCTAGGAACATTCGACTGGTAAGAAAAAACACCTCAAATGAGCATATGCACAGCTTCAGTAAACACCCTGCGCATACAGCCCCTCCCGAGTGCTGGCAGGCCACTGTGCATATGGACAGCCCATTTCAAGGAAAAATCAAGGGAGAAGAATCGGAAACCTTGGAACCATGCCTATGTATAAAAACATCAAGTCGGCCGGGTGCGGTGGCTCACGCCTGTAATCCTAGCATTTTGTGAGGTCGAGGGGGCGGATTGCCTGAGCTCGGGAGTTCTAGACCAGCCTGGGCAACACGGTGAAACGCCGTCTCTACTAAGAAAAAAAAAAAAAAAAAAAATTAGCCGGGCGTGGTGTCGTGCTCCTGTAGTCCCAGCTACTCGGGAGGCTGAGGCAGGAGAATTGCTTGAACCCGGGAGGCGGAGGTTGCAGTAAGCTGAGATTGCATCACTGCACTCCAGCCTGGGAGACAGAGTGAGACTCCGTCTCCAAAAAAAAAAAAGAAAAAAAAAAAAAAAACACCAGATGAAGCGCTTTGATCTATCAAGTCGCGAGCTTGGCCTTGGCCCTTTTCCAAGTGTACTTTCCTTCCTTTGTTCCTGCTCTACAACTTTTAAAATAAACTTTCACTCCTGCTCTAAAACTTGCCTCAGCCTCTCTTTCTGCTTTATGCACCTCGGCCAAATTATTTTCTCCAAGGAGGCAAGAATCGAGTTGCTGCAGACTTGTACAGATTCATCACTGCTAACAACAGTACTAAGAAGGTAAAATAACTGCGGAAGTGTGTCTTCCTCTGAGTAGTTCATTCAGTACTTGATAAGCAAATATACTAAGCTCTATTTAATTGAGTTTAAAAAACTGTAAGTTACATTAATATAATACATATATGGCATTATATCATGAATCTAGAAATACAAGCAAAGCTCTAGCACATTTCCCCCAGAATTTAATTAGATAAAACTCTTTGTTGAGTCAACTCTTTGCTTTTCTCAGTCTAATTGAATGAACATTTTCATCTGTGAACTAAACTAGAAACGTAACTAAAGTTTCTGTTGAAACCTAATTCCGAATAAATGTAATATCAATACTGGTGTCTTCTGTTTCCAAACTACATCTAAATACTCATGAACTTCCTATGCATATAATTTTGTTTCTTGGCCAATCAACCCTAAAAGTTTATTTTGAAAAGTTACTAAATAAAACGTGGAATTTCTCTATTAAAATGAAGTATTATATAAACCAATAAGAATTCTTTTTGACAAAACAATTAATTCATTGAGTATAAAAATATTATGCAGTGACTAAATGCCAGCAGTTACATCTTTACACAAGCAGGGAATGCACTAGCCAAAAAAGTACCCCCTCAATTATTTCTTTTTTTTTCCCAGCAAGTAGCTTCTCTGAGGAGGAGAACAAGGTAAAAGAGGCAGTTGGTACAAACTGCAGGTGGCTGGCTGCTGAGGGAGAGGTGTCATTTGGGAAGCACAGCAGGTGGCCTAAACTGAGAAGAAGACGGCATTTAGAGACAGCAGCAGGTGTTTGCTATGAGGGAGAAGGACCTCTCACCAAAGTTGTCAATGATTGTATTCGTTCATTTCCGCTGCAATAATCTGGTATTTGGCATTTAAACTGACAGCACCAGATATGCCTAAAAATAATTATGAATCCAAACATTTTGCTGGCTAAAAAAATATTACAAAGGCATTATTTCTGCTTATGATTGAATCAAAATACAAACAATTGACAAAATGTTAAAGATAGCATTATAGTTTTTTCAATTACATTTTTAAAAAGCAAGATTTTGAATATTTTAAGCAGATCAAAATTTTTGAATATAAAAGATATAGTCATAAATTTAATTCATCATTAAGAGTAGTAAAGTAGAAAGCTAATTGTTACTCAAATTGGTTTTTAAATGAATAGATTCCCAGACACTATGATCATTTTCATGGTGTAGAAGTTACCAATGCCAAAAGTTATCTACTTATCATCTAAAAGTAGAATGTATAAAGAGGAGACTTTATCACGCTTAAACCAAAAAAGAGATTCAATTATTGTAAGTTTGCATATGAGAATTATTAAGACAATTCAAGTAGCTTGCATGAGCAATGCTAGAGATTTGGGAGGCCTAAAGATTAAAAGGTTCCCGGGAAACAAGAATAAAAGTGACGACATTGGCTGTGTTCTATTTTCAGATTCTAAAATTCATTACATTTGTAGAATGATCATAGAACAATCAAAAGTCCATAAAATACTGTGAGTATGCCCCATAACTTTGAGAACTCATTTCTGGACAATTATTTATTCTATCCAACTTGTATTCTTTTTTCAGCTTTGGTCTACTTGTAAAACTCGCAAATGGCAATGGGACCATGCTAGTGTAATCACAAAGAGAAGCCCTGCCAATCATCCACTTTCCTACTCTCCATAAGCAGAGACTCTGTGCAGAAATTCCAGCACGCAGAAGCAGAGGTCAGTCTGGACTGTTCATAAATGTGTATCTTGTAATCACTAAATATAAAGGGGCGATGTTTTGAAGTTTTCGCCAGAGGAACCAGCAGCATTTCTGGATAACATTTTGCACCAGAGTGTGCAACTATTAATCGGTTCGTATAAAATAAAAAACAGAAATTGGAGGAAGCAGGAATATGACAAAAGGAAAGGGAGTGAGAGACAAAGGGTAATATGATACAGTAAATAATTTTTGATGTCTTAAATACTCATTCTGCCCAAATAAATTGTGTCTAAAGTGGTGGTTCAATCAAGCAAGTTGGGTTAAACCATCTAAAACATCAAAAACATTAGTAGCAAAGATGACACTTGTTTATAACCATGATGTGGATATAGATGCTGTGTTTTGTGTTTATGGTTAAACAGGAAAGTAGGAAACTACGTGTAATGAGTCTGAAGCCCCTACTTTTACTAAAAGCTCTTACCATTTTTTTTCTCTCAGAAGACAGACACTTACAATGAAAAATGTACACATTTCAATAGTCTTTCTTAGATAATTAAAGGTGACTTTCAAAGATATAAAATATATTTTAGGGTGTTAAATCTGCTGAGAGATTGCTAACGCAATAGAAAGAAATACTGTTCCTGAGATTCTGTTCTCAGAAGATGAAGAGCTTTAAGTGAACTTTTCAGTTGTTTTTACTCTGAGGGATTCTCCTCCTCAGTATGATTAATGCTTTCCACACTTGAGTAGAAATTCTCTTGGATGAAGCCTTTGATAACTATCGTTTGTAAACTTTCGTAAACTTGCCATGCACAAAATGGAATATGGGTTATTTAACTTGAATTGAGAATCCTTGTGAGCATGCCAATTGCTTCCTTTTCTCCAGAACAAAATGATATTTGCATCATCATAGAAAAATATATTCTGAAGAAACTGTGTCTCTGGACTATATAAAGCACTACAATTAATACATAACATACAAACAAGCCACAGGCTCCAAATAAAGAAACAACTCTTTCTGATGGCTATATGTTCAAAAACAAAGCTCTTATTATTAGAAACAAATAATTGAGTCATGGTGAAGTCAATTCAATATTTCAGGCATGTTATCATTTACAAAGAGATTAATGTTTACCAGTATAAGAAATGGATATAGAAAATCAATTTCTGTGGAATAGTAGGAATGATAAGGAGTCTGGGGAAAAGAAATATTTAGTCTACAAAACAAATAAATTTAAAAAGTGATTCCAATCTTTAAATACAGTGATATCGGCAGTATTTGTAAAATTCAGATGCTGAAAAAGTGGGAAAGATAGGAGATGTACCCACTGAACACACCAAAAAGCAAATTCATTTGCACCAAAAGACCAATCTCTAATTTAAATATGTATCTTAACCTTCCAAACAACTCCCTTGCAGATTAACCTTTCAAAAAACTCCCGTATATATACACTAACTACTTGTTAGTTAAATTGCTTAACATCTTTGCACTTCAATTTGCTCACCTGTGAAATGTAGGCAACAATAGTGTCCATATCATAACGTTACTGTGAAGGTAAAGTGAGGTAATACATACAAGAAGGTTAGTGCCTTAAACAAGTTAAATACTTGATACACATCAACTATTATTTTGTACAGGATGGGGTTATTGTTAAAAAGTGTATGTGAAAAGAAAATAGCATGCCTCAAAATAAAATCATATTAAATAGTAGAACATTTCATTTTATGCATGATGAGCTGACATGTTAATATAGAAAAATATCTTACCTAGTTTGATTTTTATATAAGCTCAAAGTTATTCTAAATTTGCATAGTTTCTGTTTTTTGCTATGTAATCCTTAAAAAGTAGTTAAAAATTGCAATTGTTATTCTGAATGGTTAAAGCTTAATATACTTAGATTGTCCATCTGTCTGATTTATCAGTATTAGATTTATCAAGGATATTAGATTGTCAATATTCTGAATGATTTTAGGAATATCAAATACATTAAACATAATAACTACGTTATAGTAATATCATCTTTTTTTGATAACCATCTTAAGTAATTTTGTGCTCCCTCTAATTCCAAAGATTAATTTTAGTAGATAGTAAGTGAGGAATGCCAGAATAGTTTACAGAGAGATCAGATTTTCTTAATTATGTATTTTTAGCTTTCTTATTTGGAATAAGTACTATTTAAATACTATGATAAAGGAATGGACATAAATATTTTACCTTTTAAATCATAGTCTCTTCATCTATGCACTTTCTTCAATTGCAATTAAATCCTGAATCAAAAACAGAAATAAATTTTGAGCTACTCATTTGGGGAATTAAGAGACTGAAGAAAATCTCCATTAATCAGAGGTATAAGAAGTTCATGTCTTAAGTCAAATATACAAAGTCAAAACCATGACTACCTGGCAGCCTCACTTCAAAAATTCTGATCCTACCCCCAAACGTGTCTGTTCCATCTGTCTAGTCAAATGTGAAAATGATTATCTGAAGAAAAAAAGGCTGTTTCATAATTCCATACTCTTAGTAGTATCAAGTTATTAGAAATATTTTAAGGAGACTAAAAGTTTTCATAAAATTGCTTCAATTTGCTTTTTCATTTCGTAAAATGAGACAAATGTCACCACCAACAGCTGACCATATATACTTGAAATGGGAAATTAACTCCAAAGTGTAGACTTAATTATTTGTGGCATTCTTTTATTTATGAGCTGCAGAGTAGACACCCTGTTATGTACATTGAAAAAATATTTGAACCAAAAAATAAGAAAAAGACAGGTAAAAATACACAAACATAAATTAGTTGTCTGCATATCTAAAGCTCTCCTAGCTGAAAATCTACCTTGCATTCAACTTTTGTATCATCTACTAAAAAGCCAGTATGTTTTCTTTAAACTACTTTTTAAGGATTACATAGCAAAAAATAAAAATTATGCAAATTTAGAATAACTTTGAGCTTATATAAAAATCAAACTAGGTAAGGTCTTTTTCTATATTAGCATGTCAACTCATCATGCATAAAATGAAACGTTCTACTATTCAATATGATTTTACTTTGAGGCATGCTATTTTCTTTTCACATACACTTTTTAACAATAACCCTATCCTGTACAAAATAATAGTTGATATGTGTCAAGGACTTACCTTGTTTAAGGCACTAACCTTTTTGTTTGTATTACTTCACTTCACCTTTAGCAAAGTTATGATATAGACGCTAATGTTACCTGCCTTTCACAGGTGAGCAAATTGAAGTGCAATTGGTTATTTAATTATATGAAATATATTAGATATTCTTCCTGGTCAGTTCGTTAAAGTACAAGAAGCATTTATTCATAGGTTGAATAAATAGCTGTCGCTAGGTATAATTTGATAGATAATAAATTCTTTCTATCAAATGTATCACGCATTCTAATTTGTCTGCAGTAAAGTCTGAAATTTCATTGAAATCGCATTGCAGGGTTAAAGAGTATAATTTCCAGGATGTGCTGTACTTGTCAAAATCCAAATAGTAACCAGGGAGCTATCACAGCATGAGTTTGTTTGTTAAATGACAAATTGGCGTCTAAGCACTGAATGACTAAAACTTTCTAAAACTTTGGTTTTATGCATTTTAATTGAGGTGGAGGTGCGGGAAAAAAAATCTGGATCCTGGGTATCTGCCAAAGGCCAAAAAAAAAAAAAAAAAAGACTTCAACATGGGTAATACAAAATCTAGAACAAATAGGAACAGCATTCATTTCAGGAATTTCTGCAGGTGTGTTTGAATTCTTATATACTTAAATATTTGTAAACAACAAACTATAAATTTGGCAGCTACTTCACCACTTCAACCATTATGTCTATGCAAATGTCTTGAAAAGCATGAGTCAGAACTAAAAGCATTAGTTACTTCAATTTGGAAAAGTTGTCTCAGACTTTCAGGTAACAAACTAAGTTCATTATATTTCTTTTATAAACACAGGCATGGATGGACACACACACACACACACACACAAACACTCACACAAAATTATCATACCTTAATCGACTATTTTTGTCCACACCACACTAAAGTTAAACTAAGTCAAAATCTTAGAATCATATTTTGCTATTTATTCTCCTTTATTCTCTATATCCAGTTGATACGGCTTTGATGACTGGAAGAACACCAGCGTTTTTGGTTTTGAGCCAATAGGATTAACGACACAGATATATGTGGAGTGGTTTTAAGGAGCAAAAAGTTTAATAGGCCAGAAATAAGAAAGGAGAAAACAGCTTCTTCATATAGAGACAGAGGAAGGAGGGCTTGGAACAAAAAGGAACCTCATCTGTGGCAGAAAATTTGTTGGTTATATTGGGAGGCTGGAGGAGGCAGTGTCTGGTTTACATAGGGCCCAGGGGATTGGTTTGACTAGGTGTGTTATTTACGTAGCCCAAGAAAAACCTGGCCCTTCCACCTTAGCTTTTTAATATGCAAATGTGGGTTGCCATGATGTTTTGAGCACATGGTGTTATTTGGAGGTGGCCATGACATGTGACACAGGTGGTGACAAGGAGAAGATGGTGGGAATCGGCATGTTGGGTAGACCCAGTTACTATTTGTTGGCATTTGTATATTGAAGCTTGCTGGCTTGGCTTTCTAAGCCACGTTTCTGTTAGTTTTTACCAAAAACCTTTACCCTGTTTACTTGCCTAAAAATTATTTTTAAATAACTTTTGTACTACAATCAAGTACAAACTTTTACTAATTCATCTTTTGTAACTTCTCATGAATCTGGCACTTTATCTTCATTTTAATTTTTACTGCTATTATCAAGGCTGTTAGTGACAATTCCTAAACAATTGCTTACAGTCTGTCCCCATTCATCTACCAGCTGCCTCTGCCACCATCTTTCTAACATTACACTGCTAAAGGCCAGCATTTATTAGCACTAACTATACAGTGAGTGCTAGGCGAAAGGATCTACCAAGACTATTAACATTTAATTTTCACAATAGCCCTATGAGATAAGAACTATTATCCTCAATATACTGATAAAACCCTGAGCCTTAAAAAAGGTGGAATGACACAGCTATAAATTGTGGAAACAAGATTTGAACCCAGGATGTTTAATTCCAGAATGATGTTATTGAGTTTGTTACACTGTTTCACTGAACAATAATTTCAACGTGTTAACACATGATCTGGAAATTGTCTATGACATCTCATCACATATAGCTAATAAAGAGCTAACATTCATTGAGTGCCGACTCCATGTTAAGTAATTTATGTGAATTATCTCATTTAAACTTTTCAATGGCCACATAATTTACAATTATCTCCATTTTACAGAACAGGTAACAGATTGAGAGACTTGTGAATGCCACACTTTAATCTCATCTCCTCCCCACCACCCTGAAATCACAAGCTTGAACTGCCATCCGGACCTGAGGCAACCTTTCCCTCATTAAGACTAAGTTTCTCCTGTGTGCAGAAATATGAAGGATGGAAGGAAAAGGAAGAGATATCCGGTACTATTGTAGTCATTTATCTGTGGATTGTCAATACTTTTGTGTCTAACATCAATCATTAATAACCTGTGTTTGGTAGGCATGAAAAGGCTGGCTGGGTTGTGTGAGTTCTTAGATGGACCTATAGCCAGAATAAGAACAGAAATGGTTTTCACAATCACCTTGACACTTTTTTTTTTTTTTTTTTTTTGAGACGGAGTCTCGCTCTGTCGCCCAGGCTGGAGTGCAGTGGCGGGATCTCGGCTCACTGCAAGCTCCGCCTCCCGGGTTCACGCCATTCTCCTGCCTCAGCCTCCCAAGTAGCTGGGACTACAGGCGCCCGCCACTACGCCCGGCTAATTTTTTGTATTTTTAGTAGAGACGGGGTTTCACCGTTTTAGCCGGGATGGTCTCGATCTCCTGACCTCGTGATCCGCCCGCCTCGGCCTCCCAAAGTGCTGGGATTACAGGCGTGAGCCACCGCGCCCGGCCGACACTTCTTAAAAGCTATTGAATCTAACAACTATTTATTTCTCCTGTTCTAATTTTTCTTATACAAATTGCGAAGACAGAATTTGGAGTCAATGGCAAGTGGTAGTATAGCAGGCTTGGTCAACTCTTAAGCCCTGAGAAATGTATTTAGCTCTCTTTATCGCAGTGGTTCTTAAAGTGTGTTTCTGGAACAGCATTATTAGCATAACTTATAAACTTGTGGGAAATTCCAACTCTCAGGCTTCTCTTCAGATGTACTGAATTAGGACCTAGAGGTGGGGCCAAGCAATGTGTATTTTGGCAGTCCCTGAAGGTGATTCTGACACACGATAAAGTTATAAAAACCACTGCTTTAGAATGTGAGATATTTAGCACCACTGTTTACTTCAGCTTTAGGCCTTATTTAATAATTTCTGGGCAATATAATAAGCCTAGAGTTTAGAAATCCATTTGTGTTCTGTTCTTTATCTTGACCATTCATTTTTTTGGAAATCAATACCTTGTATCTCAAATTTTCTCATGCTATAGTTACTGTAATTTATATTAAAAATACTGTATATAAAAATAAAAATGTTCACCATATTTCTCCTTTTCCAGAATATCAAATATATTGTTATTATCACTGATGTTGTTGAGAATATCCAAACGGTATTTTTAATAGTTTCATTAAAGAAATTAAAAAACAAAAGCAATTTAAGGGAATTGCTGAGACAAATAATTTGATTCTCATGATTCCTCCAGAGTGGAATAACTGATGTATAATATTGCTGTCTTCTAATTTCTTTTTCTTAGTTTGTGGGTCTCTTTGTGTGTGTTTCACAAGGCATATTCTCAGCTACAATAGCATTAAAATGTCATTAAAGAAACACGTATTTATGAATTATATGTTTTAATAACACAGTATTTTTTAATTTGTGGTTAATTTTATTGCTATATAGACAAAATTAAATATAGTTTTAAAATAAATTTATAAAAATTTTTATTCACTAAGACTAAACGAGTTAATTTAAGCTGCAGATTTATAAAAATAGATCTTTAATCTGTCCAATATAAACTGTTTTTTTTTTTTTTTAATTTTACTTTAAGTTCTGGGATACATGTGCAGAACATGCAGGTTTGTTACATAGGTATACACGTGCCTTGGTGGTTTGCTGCACCCATCAACCTGTAATCTACATTAGGTATTTCTCCTAATGCTCTCCCTCCCCTAACCCCCCAACCCCGACAGGCCCTGGTGTGTGATGTTCCCCTCTCTGTGTCCATGTGTTCTGATTGTTCAACTCCCACTTACGAGTCAGAACATGAGGTGTTTGGTTTTCTGTTCCTGTGTCAGTTTGCTGAGAATCATGGTTTCCAGCTTCATCTGTGCTTCATCATGAGGACATAAACTCATCCTTTTTTATGGCTGCACAGTATTCCATGGTGTATATGTGCCGCATTTTCTTTATCCTGTCTATCATTTTTGGGCATTTGGGTTGGTTCCAAGTCTTTGTTATTGTGAGCAGTGCTACAATAAACATACGTGTGCATGTATGTGTCTTTACAGTAGAAAGATTTTTAATCCTTTCGGTATATACCCAGTAATGGGATTGCTGGGTCAAGTGGTATTTCTGGTTCTAGATCCTTGAGGAATCGCCACACTGTCTTCCACAATGGTTGAACTAGTTTACAGTCCCACCAACAGTGTAAAAGTGTTCCTATTTCTCCACATTCTCTCCAGCATCTGTTGTTTCCTGACTTTTTAATGATCACCATTCTAACTGGCATGAGATGGTATCTCATTGTGCTTTTGATCTGCATTTCTCTAATGACCATAAACTGGATTTTTACCATTGTATTACAAAGGTAGTAATACTTACACATTTGGTTCATCTGATGGACTAATAAGTCAGCTGCTATATATCAAATCTGTCAGTGCACTGATTATATCTCCCATGGAAGATTTTTTTTATCTTTTGATTCAATGAAAGTTTCTTGTATGAAACCAAATTTCATACAGTTCTAAAAAATCCTTTAGAAATTCATCATTTTAGTTTTGTTTACTAGGCTAAAGCAATTTACTGTCTACCATCATATGTCTATTTTTTTTTAAAAAAATGCCTTTTCCTACAGAAAAAAGTTATAAAATTAAATAGAGGTGTAACAAGTAGGATTTTAAGATTACACATGGTTGTTTTGTGCTAGTTAAAAAGAAAAGAAGATATAATGCTTTTAACAAATGAGAACACTATGTATGTATATACATATAATGCATATTTAACATTGAGTTGTTAACTGGGAAAAAGGTTGTGGTATTAAGCATGAAAAAGAAGAGAGTTGGGAGGCATTTCAGGCATTGTGAAAGCATCTTTATTCACACTGTAGCCTTGTTACACACAGAACAGTGAGGATATGCTTTCATGTAACTGGCTATATCTCCCTAATTGGCTATATAAATTTCATTAGTGCCATTGTTAACTTATAGAGTAGTAACACATAAAGGATCTTGAATGCTTTCAAATACTACGGATAATAAGAAAATAATTAAACTTGCCATTCCACTTTGTGTATTTGAGTATTATAACGTATGAATTAAGCTATGTGACTATTATGAAGTCACAGGCAAGCAGAAAGAAATGGTCTTGATCAATGTCTAGTCAGTAGTCCTGGGGTAAACTGACTATACAATGCATGTATCTGCTTCCTGTGGTTTGTCTGGATTCAGGTGAAAGGTTTCCACCAGGGGATGCATCTGTAGTCTGTCAAACTATGTAGATAGATATGGTAAACTGATCTGACCACATTCTACAACTAACTACAGATTAGTTTACTTGCCGTTGGTACACTTGGTCTTATAACTCAGCCACTTACTCAGCCTAATCCTAAAGTGATACCTTCCTGTGAATTGGAGAACTGTATTTTCAAATAAAGCTTCACATAGCAAACATTTCATAAAGATCAATTCACCTTGAGATAACTAAAAGGTTCTGTCTACTTCAGCTCATTCTAGATGTCATTTCTCTCACAAACATCTCTGACCTACCCTTACTTCCATTTATTTGCTTCTTTCATTTCTAGTCATTAGTTTCTTACAAACCTGCCTGCAGAGATCGTTCTGTTTGAGATTTTTCTAAACCCCTAAGTAATAATCAATTCATGTAATAGAGAAGTTGAAACTTTCTGTGATAGTCTTAATGACTTCTTTATGGTGAAAAATATTTAAAGAAATTATCCTGAAAAGAAACATTTGCTAAGGAATTTATCTTTCTTTTCAATTTACCTCTCAAATGCAAAATCATGATAGGATGAAATAGTAATACACGTGAAAAAAAATTTTTTTCTGAATAAGAAAAGCCCCTCTGGCATTATTTCTGCAGGGACTAATAGACCCACCTATAGCTTTATGTAGATGAAACACAGTTAGTTGGGTGGTCAGTGCATCTCCACAGTGGAATGAGAAAGACTCAATAGGTCTTTTTCATCTCTACTTCTAGATTCTCTGATCAAATATCAATACGTAACAATTTTAACCAGTTATATTTAAAAAACAGAAAAGTACACATAAGAAAGAGAAATAAAAACATAAATAAAATATGTAGGAAGCAATGTGTACTCAGACTAAAAGTTCTGAATAAATTGTAGGAGATGGTATATCTTTTATTTTTAATTTTTTATTATTATACTTTAAGTTCTGGGGTACATGTGCACAACGTGTAAGGTTTGTTACATAGGTATATATATGCCATGTTGGTTTGCTGCACCTATCAACTCGTCACCTACATAAGGTGTTTCTCCTAGTGCTATCCCTCCCCCAGCCTCCCACCCCTCAACAGGCCCCAGTGTGTGATGTTCTCCTTCCTGTGTCCATGATCTCATTGTTCAATTCCCACTTATGAGTGAGAACATGTGGTATTTGGCTTTCTCTTCTTGTGTTACTTTGCTGAGAATGATGGTTTCCAGTTTTATTCATGTCTCTGCAAAGGACATGAACTCATCCTTTTATATGGCTGCATAGTATTCCATGGTGTATATGTGCCACATTTTCTTTATCCAGTCTATCACTGACGGGCATTTGGGATGGTTCCAAGACTTTGCTATTGTGAACAGTGCTACAATATACATACATGTGCGTGTGTCTTTATAGTAGAAAGATTTTTAATCCTTTGGGTATATACCCAGTAATGGGATTGCTGGGTCAAATGGTATTTCTAGTTCTAGATCCTTGAGGAGTTGCCACATTGTCTTCAACAAAGGTTGAACTAATTTACACTCCCACCAACAGTATAAAAGCGTTCCTATTTCTCCACATCCTCTCCAGCATCTGTTGTTTACTGACTTTTTAATTTTTGCCATTCTAACTGGCGTGAGATGGTATATCTTAAGGCCTTAACCCTAAATCATAACTTCCTAAACAGAAACTGCATATAAAGAGCTGTTTTTCTTACTAGTGGTACAGTTTTATCAGATGCTTTTTATTAAGATTATATTATTCTACTTAATAATAATATAATAAATATCTGTACTTAATAAATACAGATAAGTGGAAACATATGAAAAAAATGCTCAACACCATTAGTTATTAGGGAAATGCAAATTAAAAACACAATGCACTACACAAATATAAGAATAGCAACAAAACAAACAAACAAACCTGACAAGAACAAATTCTGTTGAGGATGCAGAGCAAAAGGCTTATAGAAAATTTTAATAACATAACTAGACATAGCTGCTTCCAAATTTAAAATATGATTAGAACTTTTTGTTATTTAATTTGAGCAGAAGATGAAAGTTTACACAGATTAAGCTTTCACTTAAAGTTAAATGCAATGAGAAGGGAATAGCCTATTAAAAAACATTTAACATATCTACAGCTATCATCTATACCTAATGGTAAAAGAATGAATGCTATTGTAATATCAGGGTCAAGACAAATATCTGCTTTCACTCCTCCTATTAGCATCACATTGGGGATCTTAGCCTGCGAACTGAGACAAAATAAAGAAAGAATTGACATATAGAGTGCATACTAAGAAACAAAACTGCCTCTATTTTCAGAGGACATGACAGTCAACATACAAAATGTACAAAAAGTTCTTAGATCTCATAAGTGAACTTAGCAATGTCTCATAATGCAAAGAAAATATACAGAAATCAATCGTATTACTATATTACAGCAATTAAGAGTTGAAATCTGAAGTTTTTAAATGACGTCAGTTACAATAGTACTAAATAAAATTAAGTACTTGGGTATAAATTTAACACAATATGTGAAGAATGTCTGCACTGAAACTTACAAAACGCTGGTAAAAGAAATCAAATATCTAAATCAATAGAGATGAAAAAGATATTTCCCTCATTCGTAAATTAGAAGGTGCAATATTGTTAACATGTCCATCCTTTCTCATTTGCTATATGCACTTAATGATATTCCTATCATAATCCCAGCAAGCTTTTATTCAGATATCAGAAGCTGATTCTAAAATATATATGGCAAAACAAAGAAACTACAATAGCTAAAACAATTCAGAAAAAGAAGAAAAAAGCTAAAGGGCTCCCACTGTCCAATTTCAGGACTTATTATAAAACTTTAATAATTAAAGCTGTGGTATTGGAAAAAAAGATAACATATACATCAACAGAATAGAAGAGACAGCTGAGAAATAGGCCTATAAGAATACAGTTTATTGCTTCTTTTTACAGAGATTCACTAATTTAATAAAGAAAGGATTTTTTCAACAAATATTGCAGTATCAACTGTAAATCCATATGAAATTAATAAACTACAGGCATATACCTGATACATTATCCAAAAATTAACTGAAAATATGTCATTTACCATAATGTATAACAAAACTATAAAACTTTTAAAAGGAAACATGAGACAATCTATATAATCTTTAGTTTAACAGTAAGACTTAACTAAAAAATACAAAGCGTGATCTACTTTAAAAATGTTAAATTAGACTTTATCAATATTAGAATACTTTGTTCTGTAAAAGACACTGTAAGGAGAATGAAAAGGTAACACACACACTAAGAGAAAATATTTGCAAGTTAAAATCACATCTCCAATAAAATCTTACATGTACAATATATAAATAACACTCAAAAGTCAACAATAAGGAAAAAAGCAACAAAATTAATAAATTTTAATAAATTTAATAATTTTTTAAGTCTAAAAAGACACTTCCCCAAAATAGATATGTGAAACCATGTGAAAAAAATACTCAACATCATTAATTATTAGGGGAATGCAAATTAAAACCACAATGTACTACACAAGTATTAAAATGGCAACAAAACAATCACACACACACCTGACAAGATAAAATTCTAGCAATGATGCAAGTTAACAGCAACTTTAATTAGTTGCTAGATGATATGCAAAATTGTTCAGCCACCTCTGAAAATGGTTTAGCAATTTTTTACAAATGTATACATACATTTATCATATGATCCAGTAATTCCACTCTTAGATATTTAACAAAAAGAATTGGAAACTCGTATTTACTAAAAGCTTATAAACACATGTTTATAGCACTTTCTCTTATAATCACAAAAAGAAGAACGCAGAAATCCTTCAACAGGTGAATGGATAAACAAGCTGTAATATATCCATTGAATGTAATAATACTCAGCAAGAAAAATGAACAAACAGTTGATTCAAACGACAGTGTGGCTAAATCTAATATACATTTTGCTAAGCATTGTATTATTCCGTTTGAAAAGCATTTGGGTAAAGGCAAAACTATAGGAATGAAAAACAGATCTGTAGTTGCCAAAGATTATGGGAAGGAAGATTACTTGGCTACAAAGAGGACACACAGGAAAATTTTAGGAAGATGCAGCTGTTTTGCATGGTACTTTGGTGGTGGATACATGACTAAGCATTTTTCAAAACTTATAGAGCTGTACAATCCAAAAGATAAACTTTACCATATGGAAATTGCAAAAAACAAAAACAGGATGTCAGGAAATCCCAGGAAGGATTGCAGACAAGAAAAATGAACCCAACTGTGTTGTAAATGTATAACATAACTTCACCGAAGGGTTCGAAAAGAAAAATAACAAACCTAAGTAACTTTGACAACCAGTGTTTTGACTAGATACAATAAACAAGGAAGGCAAGAATAAACCCTGTGGGGCATAACTAGCTGAGAAATATCAGTGTTTATGTTAATAGAGATACAAATATATAAATATAGACATAACTATAGATGTATATATTTATATATGGGTTAGTATACATGCACTCATACATATTATTTCTGGCTCAGTACACAGAGGGAGCTTAGAAAGGAAGAAGGAAGGAGGGAAGGAAGAAAGGAGGGAAGGAAGGAAGGAAGGAAGTCAAAACGGAAGGGGTGAAGGAAGGATGAAGGGAAGGAAGGAAGGGAAATGAAGTGAGGAACGAAAGAGGGAGGGAAGGAAGGAAGGAAGTCAAAACGGAAGGAGTGAAGGAAGGATGGAAGGAAGGAAGTAAAGGGGAATGAAGCGAGGAATGAAGGAGGGAGGGAGGGAAGGAAGGAAGGCAGGAAGGAAGGAAGGAAGGCAGGAAGGAAGGAAGGCAGGAAGGAAGGCAGGCAGGCAGGGAGGGAGGGAGGGAGGGAGGGAGGGAAGACAAAGGAGCCAACGTGAAAGATCAGCTCCAATGACCAAATCTGGAATAGTTTGAGAAACAAAATTAATAATGATAGTTTTGGAGTTGTGGAGGAGGCTAAAAGGTAGATACACATTAGCAGTTCCATACTGATTAATAAATGACCAAATAAATAAATAAACGAGAAAAGAGACATATCTTTAGTCCAGAAGAATTCCATATAACACAGGAATTAAGAATGATGGGAATAAAAAGTAATCAGTGGAATACTACAGCAGTAATTGTTACAAGCAAGAACCATTAATGACTGCTAAACATTTTGGAAGCAACTTTAAAAAGAAACAGTATATTTGAATAGACTCAAATTATCTTCCCAAACCTACTTACTAATTTCAGTGGTGTTTTTCCTAACAAGTGTTCACAAGTATTTGATACTTCTCCCTCCAAAACCTGGGGTTTAATTCTCTTTCCTCTGAGCGTGGGCTGGATTTAGTGACTCATTTCTGAAAACAGAGAATGGAACAGGAGAAGTAGTAACTTTGCAGTGCAGAAGCCTGGAAAATACCACCTTTGTCAAGTGGTCAAGTTTAACATCACCAATAATAAGTAATGCAGATATTATTTTACCCCAAAATGGTATGATGAGAAGAGTACTTTATCTCTGCGTTATTCCCCCAAAATCTGTTTCCTCAGTATAATCATGAAAAAAGATCAGAGAAACAAAAATTGGGAGAAATTCCAAAACACCTGACCAGTAGTCTTCTAAAGTGCTGATGTCATGAGAACAAGGAGATAGTATAACATGATAGAGAGAATACTGTGTCTGTATTTTAGTGCCCGGTTGTACCAGAGTAATTTCTGAGCACTACATGCATCAGTCTTTGTATATTTTTGCTTGGTATGTGCAACCAGGATTTGAATTTGGTCTCTTAATTACTTAAAAACCAAAACGAAGGGCTGGGTGCAGTGGCTCAAGCCTGTAATCCCAGCACTTTGGGAGGCCAAGGTGGGTGGATCACCTGAGTTCAGAAGTTTGAGACCAGCATGGCCAACACGATGAAACTCTGTCTCTACTAAATATACAAAAATTAGCCAGGCATGGTGGCATCCACCTGTAGTCCCAGCTACTGGGGAGGCTGAGACAGGAGAAACGTTTGAACCCAGGAGGCGGAGGTTGCAGTGGGCTGAGATTGCACCACTGCACTCCAGCCTGGGTGACAGAGCAAGACTTCGTCTCAAAATAATAATAATAATAATAATAATAATAATAATAAAATTATTTGTCAGAAAATTCTATATAATATAATTTCTAGTACTGAATATTATACTTTTAGTTTAGTACTACTTCCACTTTTCTGCCCCACAATAATTTTATATATAAAATTATATTAATATAAATTATATTAATTTTATATATAAAATTACATTATTCTATTAATAATAATTTTAATCTTATGTATAAATACCTACTAGAATTTGGACGGGGGTGAAACAGTGAAATGCCTTGCTTATCCTTTGAAAAATTATATTTTGGGAAATATATAATTGCTTATTTCTGCATTACTATTGTTTGCAAATGCCTTGTGGGGAGGTGTCTTTTACAAATCAACATTTAATGGCACCTACAAAATGAAAATATACAAATATTGGGACTTTTAAAATAACTACATAAGAATTGACACATTGACATTTACTTCAATACTTTACTATCAGATTTATTCAGTTGATAGCAAGGTGGAACTAGATTTATGAAAGAAAACCAATAGAATATAAAAAAACAGTGAAGAAAACACTCCCCATTGTCCAAACTGTCATTTACTTACGGAAGCTAAGCCAAATCTCATGCTTAGTAATAAACATAAAATGTTACAGAATATTCCATCTCAAAAATCATGGTTTTGAAGGAAATTATGAGAATTAGATAATTAATGTTCACCTACTCCACACATAAGTAAAACATTTCCTAATTAAATCCCTCTTAAGAAGATAAGAAACTACCAACAAGGCTGAATCACGACTTTATCATACTACAAAGAGTGAGAATTAAGACACAGTTTGTTGAGGAGAATCCAGACACATTTAATATAGGTGTCCAGAGACTTTGTAGCTGTGACATGGGCAGGTTATCCCAGGGAAATTTTCATAACCCTTAGTTCTCTAAAATGAGTACTCATTTGGCTTCCGATCATTTGCTTAAGCTGCTAGAGGCTGGATTGAATAAAGCTGCCCTGAGGAAATTATTTGGAAATCTAACAGTTTTCCCAGTATATTTTGTCAGAGGAGAATCTGATGAAATTTACATATCAACATTGAGAATATTCTTGTGAGTGTCTAACACTCAATTTCGTACCTCTGAGTTAAATCTAAAGAGTTAGGGGCACTATTACTTAACCTGTATCTATGTTTTGGCATCAAGTCTTCAACATGAAATAAGCAAGCCGAATTATAGAGTCCTTATGTGATCTCTTCAAAATGATCTTATTTTCCAAAATATGAATGACCTATAGAAAGAAGAGTTTTAGTGCCACTAAAGAAGAGCATAGGCTTTAGAAGGTGAAAGAAAGATGATTTGAAATGTGTTTGTTAACACAGAAGATATTGCTGATATGGTGAAATTATTACGCATGGAAAATTATATGCATAATGAAGCGGATAAAAAATGGAAGTAAATATACATTCAAAGAAATGAAAATGGGCATTTTAGGGAGCCTGAAGCTCTGTAACTGGACAAAGTAAGACAAATGTAAGTAGAGGAGTCAGTTGTAAAGGACAAATTGTAACATTGTCTACAACAAGCCAAACAAGGAAGTTTAGAAAATAAATAATTCATTTAGTCCCCATAATTTATTTTAATTATTTCAAGGTCAGTATATAATGACCACTCAAAATTTACCACCTATCATTTTTACACACTATCCAGTGTTCATCTAACTGTCATAATGGATAATTTAGGAGTATGAAATATGGATACTGTTCATTCAGGTATGTATGCTAAGCCAGCTTCTAGAGATTTTTTTATATTTATTGTATTTAATTTATATTTTAATATAAATATGCTAAATACCATAAAACATAAACAAAATATATTTTGCTAAGTAGAAGATAAAAAGACCATAAAGATTTTACATGTTTTTTCATTGCTGTCTATTTTATTTTTAATACCAATGAGATGAGAAGTAATTGTTTACCATACTTATACTATGGAAGTTGTACTTAGCAAATCAGGAAGTACAAAAAAATTTCTAGTAACTCTGTGATCAAATTTTGTACATTTTTATATCAAATCCAAGTAAATTTTTAGCTGTATTCTTGAATAAGTGATTTTACCAGTGTGTATCCACACTTCTCTAAATACAAAATGAGAGTAAGCATATATATCTAATAAGATTTCAGTAAGTTTGTAAAGTGATAATTCATGTTAACGGCTTAATGTAATACATGACACATAAGTGGTAAGTGTTAATATCAGGAGCCAATTATAATCTTGAAAGACATAGTCTCAAAAGCCATAATCCTCAAAATTAAAATCCCAAATTTTATCATCCTGAAATAATTCTGGAAAAAATAATTTAAAATAAATTTACATTTTGGAGACCAAGCTGAGCAAGATGGTGAAATAGAAGGCTCTATTGATCATCCCCTCCATAAAAAAAAAACACCAATTTAACAACTCTCTACACACAAAAAAAGCACCTGTATAAGAGCCAAAAATCAGGTGAGCACTCACGATACCTGGTTTTAACTTCATATCACTGAAAGAGGCACTGAAGACGTAGAAAAACAGTCTTGAATTGCCAATACTACCACTCCCTGATCCACCAGCATTGGAGGCATGGCGCAGAGAACAGTTCTCCGTGCTGGGGGCAGGGGGCTGGGGTGGGGAAGGAGAGTATAGGAGTTGTGAGGCACTTAACTCACTGCTGTCCCGTTGAAGCAGGAAAGAAAACCAGACCAAACTCAGCTGACACGCACCCATGGAGGGAGCATTTAAACCAGCTCTAGCCAGAGGGGAACTGCAGATCCCAGTGGTCAGAACTTGAGTTCCTGCATGCCTCACCACCGTGGACTTAAGTGCTCTGGGGCTCTAAAGAAACTTGAAGGTCAGTCTAGGCTGCAACTCCTAGCTGAGTCCTAGTGCTGAACTGGGCCCAGAACCAGAGGAATGGGAGGGCACAGGAACTACTCATATACCAGCTAGGGAAGCTAAGGGAGTGCTTGGATCTCTCCTCTAAAGCCAGGTGGCAGAGTTTGTGGCTCCAAAGAGATCCCATCCTTCTGTTTGAGGAGAGGTGAGGAAAGAGTGTGGAGAATTTTATCTTGCATCTTGGATACCACCTAAGCAACAGCATGATAGGGCACTGGTCAAAGTTGTGAGGCCTCTTTTCCAGGCCCTAGTTCCTGGACAAACCCTTGGCCAGAGGGAACCCACTGCCTTCAAGGGAAGGACCCAGGCCTGACAGCATTCATCATCTGCTAAATAAATAGTTCTTGGTCCCTGAATAACCAGCAGTGATACCCAGGAACCACATCAAGGGCCTTGGGTAAGCTTCTGAGACATATTGGCTTCAGGTGAGACTCAGCACATTCCCTGCTGTGGCAGCTAAGGGGTAAGACTCCATCTACTTGATAAAAGCAAAGGAAAAAGTAAAGGGGCCTTCATCTTGCACCTTAGATACCAGTTGGCCACAAAAGGTAGAGAAGCAAGTGGGCTCCTGAGGTCTCTGATTTCAGGAATTGATTCTCGGATTGCATTTCTGGACCTATCCTAAGAAAGAAGGGGGCCCACTGCCCTAAAGAGTGAGTCCCAGCCCAGGAAGCATTTACCACAAACTGACTGAAGAGCCCTTGGGCTTTAAGAGAACATCAGTGGTAGTCTGGAAGTACTCTCCATTGGCCTGTGGTGGTGAGAGCCATGGGGTAAGGCTCCCCTGCTTTTGGAAAGTGGACAGAAGAATGAGAAGGATTGCTTCTTGTAATTTGAGTGCCATCTCCGCCTCAGTAAAATAGAACACCAGGTAGATTTCTAAGGATTTTGACTCTGGTAACTGGATCCAGGACAACACCTCTGGACCTGCTTAGGGCCTAGGAGAACTTGCCACCCTGAAGGGGAAGACACAGGCCCGGCTGACTTTGCCACCTGCTGATTGTAGAACCCCAGGGCTTTGAGTGAACATAGTCAGTAGCCAGGGATTGGTTAGAGCAGGTCATGGGTGAGACCCAGTTCTGTGTTGCCTTCATGTCTGACCCAGCACAGTCATAGTGGTGGTGGCCACCAGGGGTACTTGTTTCACTTCACCCTCAGCTTTAGTTGGCTCAGAACAAAGAGAGAGCCCATTTGTTTGAGAGAAAGTAATGGAAGAGAACAAGGGTCTATGCCTGTTAATCTAGAAAATTCTTCCAGATCCAGCCCAAGACTATCAAAGCAGTACCTCTATGAGTCTGCAAGGACCGTAGAATTATTGGGCTTGGGGTACCACCTAAAGCAGATACAGCTTTGATCACGGTACTCAAGTCTTTCCAAATATCTGGAAAACCTACCCAAGAAGGGCAGAAACAAATAATACCAGACTGTGAGGTCTACAATAAATACCTAACTCTTCAATGCCTAGAAACAGATGAACATCTGCAAGTATCAAGACCATCGAGGAAAACATGACATTGCCAAAATGCATTAAGTAAGCCACAGGCTTTGTTTCTCCTGGAGAAACAAAGATATGTGAAATTTCAGACAGAGAAGTCACGATAAGTGTTTTTAGAAAACAATGAAATTCAGGATAATATAGAGAAGTAATTCAGAATTCTATCAGATAAACTGAAATAATTTAAAAAAATCAATCGGAAATTCTGAAGACAAATAATGGAAGTTATACACTAAAGAATTCATCAGAGTATTTTAATAGGAGAATTAATCTAGCAGAAGAAAACATAGCAAGCTTGAAGACAGGCTACTTGAAAATACAGTCAGAGGAGACAAAAGACAAAAAAAAATGATGCATACCCAGAGAATCTAGAAAATGTCTCAAAAGTGAAAATCTAAGAGTTATTGGCCTTAAAAGGAGGTAGTGAAAGAGATAGGTAGAAAGTTTATTCAAAAGGATAATAACAGAGAACTCCCTAAACCTAGGGAAAGATATCAATATCCAACTACAAGAAGGTTATAGAACACCAAGCAGATTTAATCAAAAGAAGTCTATCTCAATGCATTTAATATTCAAACCCCCAAAGATCAAGGATTTAAAAACAGGTTCCAAAAACAGCAAGAGAAAAAAAATATTATTCAATGAAGCTCCAATGTCTGGCAGAAGACTTTTCAGTGGAAATCTTACAGGTGAGGAGAGAGAGACATGACATATTTATAATACTGAAAAAGAAAAAAAACCTACTACCCTCGAATGGTATATCTGGCTAAAATATTCTTTAAACATGAAAGAGAAATACTTTCCCAAACAAACAAAAGCTGAAGAATTTAATTATCACCAGACCTGTCCTACAAGAAATGATAAAGGGAATACTTCAATGAGATAGAAAAAAAATGTTAATTAGCAGTAAATAATTACCTGAAGGTACAAAACTTACTAGTAAATACACAGAAAAACCCACAATATTATAACAGTGGTGTGTAAACTACTTTTATCCTAAGTAGAAATACTAAACAATAAACCAATCAAAACTAATAACTAGAAAAACTTTGAAACCATAGAGAGTACAATAAGATATAAATAGAAACAACAAAAAGTTAAAAAGTGGGGGAATAAAGTTAAATCATAGAGTTTTTACTACTTTTCATTTTTTGTTTGTTTATTGTTTATGTGACAGTTTGCTATTTTAGCCTAAAATAATAGTATTTGCAAGCCTCATATAACCTCGACCCAAATAATCTATAACAAATACACAACAATTAAAAAAAAAGAAGATAACCATATCACCAGAGAAAATGACCTTCAGTAAAAGGAAGATAGGAATAAAAGAAAGAAAGAAGAGAAGAACACACACAAAAAAACAGAAAACAAATTATAAAATGTTAAGAATAAGTCCTTACTCATCAAAAATAACATTGAAAATAAATGGACTACATTTTTCCAATCAAAAAATTAAATGGATAAAAACACATAGTGGCTAAATGGATTAAAATGCAAGACCCAATGGTCTGCTGTCTAAAAGAAACTCACTTCACTTATAAAGACACACATAGACTGAAAATAAAGAGATGAAAAATGATATTTCATGATAACGAAAAACAAAATAGATCAGGAGTAGCTATATTTACATCAGTCAAAATAGATTTCAAGACAAAAACTTTAAGAAGAGACAAAGAAGCTATAAAACTATAAAATGATAAGGAGTAAGTAGAACTGATCAACAAATTCAGTAAAGTTGCAGGATACAAAATAAACATATAAAAATCAGTAACATTTCTATATGCCAACAGTGAACAATCTGAAAAAGCAATTTGAAAAGGAATCCCATTTACCATAGCCAAAAGAAAACTAAATAGTTAGAAATTAACTTAACCTCAGAAGCTAAATATTTCTATAATGAAAATTAAAAAACAGTGATTAAAGAAGTTGAAGGGGACACACACACAAAATGCAGAGATTGTCTATGTTAGTGGATTGGAAGAATCAATATTGTTAAAAAGTTCCAAGGCAATCTTGAGGTTCAGTGCAATCCCTATCAAAACATGAATGACATTCTTCATAGAAATAGAAAAAAAAAACACCCTAAAATTTATATAAAACCACAAAAGACCCAGAATATACAAAGCTATCCAAAGCAAAAAGAACAAAACTGGAAGAATCACATTACCTAACTTCAAATTATACTACAGAGTTATAGTAACCAAAATAATATGGTACTGGTATAAAAAAAGACCCACAGAGTACTTGGATAGAATTGAGAACTCAGAAATAAATCCATATCCCTACACTGAACTCATTTTCAACAAAAGTGTCAAGAACATACACTGTGGAAAAAGCAGTCTCTTGTATAAATGATGTGGGGAAAATTGAATATCCATATGCAGAACAATGAAACTAGAACCCTTTATCTCACCATATATAAAAATCAAATCAAAATGGATTAAAGACTTAAATATAAGACCTCTAACCATGAAACTGCTACAAGAAAATAGCGGGGAAAATCTCCAGGTAATTGGTCTGGGAAAAAATTGCTGAGTAATATCCCACAAGCACAGGCCACCAAAGCAAAAATTGACAAATGGGATCGCATCTAGTTAAAAAAAATCTGCACAGCAAAAGAAACCATCAACAAAGTAAAGAGACCACCTACTGAATGGGAGAAAATATTTCTAAACTACTGATCTGACAAGGATTTAGTCCCCAGAATATATAAGGAGTTCAAAAAACTCTATAGGAAAAAATCTAATAATCCCATCGAAAATGGGGAAAAGATCTGAACAGACATTTCTGAAAAGAAGACATACAAATGGCAAATGGAGATATGAAAAGTGCTCAATATCATTGATCATTAGAGAAATACAAATCAAAACTACAATGAGATGTCATCTCATCCCAGTTAAAATGGCTTATAACCAAGGCAGGCAATAAGAAATTCTGACAATCATGTGGAGAAAAGGGGACCCTTGTACATTGTTTGTAGGAATGTAAATTAGTACAACCACTATAGAGAACAGTTTGAAGGTTCTTCAGAAAACTAAAAATAGAGCTACCATATGATCCAGCCAACCCGCTGCTGGGTATATACTCTCCAAAAAAGGAAATCAGTATATTGAAGAGATACCTGCACTCCCATGTTTGTTGCAGGATTGTTCAGAATAGCCAAGATTTAACAACAACCTAAGTGTCCATCAACAGATGAATAGATAAAGGAAAATTTGATACTTATACAGAATGGAGTACTATTCAGCCATAAAGAGGAATGAGATCCAGTCAATTTCAACATGTATGGACCTGGAGGTCATTATGCTAAGTGAAATAAGCCAGGCACAGAAAGACAAACATCACATGTTCTCACTTATTTGTGGGATCTAAAAATAAAAACAATTGAATTCATGGAGACAGAGAGAAGAAAGACAGTTACCAGAGGCTGGGAAGCATTGTGGTGTGGTAGCGGTGAGGTGGAGATGGTTAATAGGTTCAAATAAATAGAAAGAATAAGACCTATTATTTGATAGCACAACCGGGTAAATATAGTCAATAGTAATTTAACTGTACATTTAAAAATAATTTAAAGAGTATAGTTGGATTGTTTGTAACAGAAAGGATAAATGCTTTAAGGAATGAATACCCCATTCTCCATGATGTGATTATTATGCACTGCCTGCCTGTATCAAAACATCTCATGTATCCCATAAATATATACATCTACCATGTACCCACACAATTAAAATGAAAAGCTTTTAACAAGTTTAAAAAAATAAAATAACAGGTATTAAAAAATAAAATAACAGGTATGAAAATTACATTTTAAAGGGATGTTTATTTGAGAAATCTAAAAACACAGCAGAAGAGTTCCCAGGCCACTTTATGTGATACAATAGGCAATAATAACATATATATTTTTTTGCGAGCATAAGCACTGCAGTATACTAATGACAGTCAAATAAGTAAACCAGTTATAAGCAGATGAGGTGTATTCATATAGAAATAGGTCAAAAAGAGAAATACATAATTGCATATAACTGTGGTGGGTAATTGTGCGCGCTCAGCTGTATAACTGCAGTCACTTGAAATACTGTGGTGAACAACCTAAGACTTTTGACAAGATTGATCAAAAATCGCAATGGGTCACCACCTCATGTGCAGTCATTCATAGAGCTGAGATCTCGAGAAGTTTTACCTTTCGCAAATGCACATGTACAAAAGGACATCTCTTCATTTATTGAGGAAGTTTCAACATTTTACATACACAATGCTTACCCACAAAGTCAAAGTTGTGATAATGCACTTTTGTGGAGTCAAATTTCTGACAGGCAACGTAGCAAAGCCTCTCCCTGTTCTCAGAGAGAGACCAAATCGCCTTCTGTATTTTCTCTCTCCTGATTGAATGGTGCCCACCAACACTAACAGCAGATCTTTCCTATATAGTCCACTCAGACTCACTCATGAATCTCCTCTGCAAACACCCTCACAGACACACTCAAAGTAATACTTTACCAATTTTCTATGTATTCCTTAATCCAGCCAAGTTGACATCTATCATTAAGTACGTAAGTCCACTCCTTGTCAACTTTTCACCAATATTCATCTCCTTAAACCATAATTTTCAAATAAAGACAATAACACTTCACATGATACAACTAACATGTTTCAATTATCTTGTATACAACTAAAAACATACTAATCTTTTACTCAGAATTCTGTTTTCAGAATTTTAACATTCAGGATTTTAATTTTGGGGGAATGCAATTTTCAGGATTTTAGACATTAGATATTTTAGGCTGAAGGAATTCTGACTTTAGGGATTTTGATATTTTAGGATTTCAGCTTCCTAATTATGCTGTTTGGGACTGTGTTTCAGGATTATGACCCAAACCCATTAATATTACCATCATCATTACTGTGAAAAGAAGATGAGATATATGAGAAAGAGAGAAAGCTTGGCAAATAAAAAGTTATTCAGTGGATGGCTCTTCAAAGCTGAAGGGACGTGTAAATGAGTAAAAAAAAAAGCTGAAAATGTATTAAAATGAAGATAAATGAGGAACAAAATCAAGAAGATAAAACATGGGTAACTTATAAAAGGGCCTTAAAGCTAAAAACTGTTAATGTCTTTATCAAGAAATTGGGATGTTGTTCTCAGGGTATTTAATTATAGACTTGAGCAAATCACTTTTCCTCTCTAGGTTTTCTTATTCATAAAGTAAGGGAAATAAACTTCTCTTTATCTTAAAGAAAGTTCTCCTCTGATCTTAAATTCTAAATTAAATCTGATACAAGTATTGGTGGTTAGGCAGTTGAGAATTTTAAGAAAATGAGGAAAACCGTTCGAACAGTTCACAGAAATGAAAAGACATTTAGGCTAAAGAGCATGTGAAGTGAACTCAAACTGCTGACAGTGTTTTTGTTGTTGATACGTAAAGTCAGATCAGGGATGAACTGTGATGTTGGAGATAGCACCGGTAAAGAAACCCCTTTTTAACATATGTCGAAATACGGGTGGAAAAACCGACCAAAAGAAGAGTGGGAAGTAACTGTACATTTATTTTTTCAAAACAATTTAAAGAAGCAAAGAAGCAAATTACCCAGCTAAGCCCTGTAACTGAAAGCCTCTTTCAGGGATAGTTTTTTGCCCTTCGATATCGGCCCATCAACACTTAACACACAGTGCCTGATACAGAAATGTCACCTAGTAACTGATAATAAGAAGTTAAAAATATATATTGTGCCACCCAAAACGCCTTCTCTTGCTTCCTACGTCCACTTAAGTCTGTTTCACCTCTCCATTCCTACTCTTCCTTCCCTGAGACAGACTTTCTCTTGCAAGAACTTTCAAAGTAGTTGTCTCTCAGATACATCTTTCCTCTGATCTGTCTTTCAAAATGAGGTTTAAATCACCTTTCTGAAACCCATATCTAATCTTGTCACTTTAGCAATGGTTATTTACAAGATGAAGTCCAAATTTGTTATTATGGTGTCACAATTTATCTCAATACCCTTTTCAGCCTTACATTGAACATTTTCCTCCTCCCCCTACTCATTTCTCACACATCATAGTTGCTGCCTGCCTAGTCTTCTCCAGTGCCTAGCACTGAGTAGCCAGAATAAGTGCTCAGTTTATTTTCTATGGGAGTAATTAACTTAAACTCTTTATGTGTACGTCTATATTATAAAAATCTTTCACATTTTTGCTGAGCATTCCAGAGGGGAAACCATGAGTACGTCTCTCCATATTTTGTTATTGAAAAGAGCCAAAAATTTGCATATAGAACACACGCATCTATCATTGCTTCATCTAACAGGTTAAAATGGCTTTAAAATTATTCATTTATATTGATGTTACCTTTGGAAATTTTATTGGAAAATTTACTCTGCAAGGCAAAAGACTGAATGATTTTATGATAATCAACATACTTCCCAAGCACATTGCTCACTCGGATGTCTAATTAAGGAGTTTTAGCCTAAAACTGTAAATACTCTAGGAAATCAATTTATTATTATTTTTTATTTATAAACAACTGCAATTTCAAAGTGGCAAACTAAAAATCTAGAAAAAAAAAGCGAAAATATTTGACATGGAAATATCGTCCAAAAAATCCAAAACAATTCATAAAAAAATATTTTCCTAAGAAAGAAGCACTTGGAACCCAATCAAAGTTTCAGGTGCTTATTTGTGATAGATGTTTTTCTGATATCTACCAACTGTAATCATAGGGACTTGTTCCTGAAAAAACAAAACAAAACAAAAACAACAACAACGAAAACAGAGAAGTAAGCTAAAAGCCTAAATTGTAGGTGTGTTCTAACCACTATTAACAGCCATTTCCTCATATTTGAAACTTCACTGTATACGTTAAATGAATGTGCTCTTGATTAAACCTATCGAAAGCTGTTTTTCCTGGATATTCTTCAAACTTTAAATTAAGGTAACCACAGGGAAACTTAAACGATGAACACAACTGGGAAAATTATTTTAGGAAGCTAAATCTAACCCCAAAGAATCTTGATATAAAGGTAACGTTTTATCTTTTTGAAATGTTAACTCAATCAAATATTGCTTCCTACATGTTGAGGGTTTTACTGTCAACTGTATAATATGAGTAAATAAACACTTGATGATGGTTTGGCTAACTTTTAGGTAACACATTGTTTCATAAAATCCATGCAAATTTAAATAAAATCAAATTTGTAAAGACAACAATCATACATTTGTTAGGATTTGAATTTGATCAGAGGGGACATTAAGGCTTTTAGACAGAAATACAGCAATTAAACTTACAGCCATGTTATGTTCTCTCTTACAAATCTAAAATGTGGGTTCAAAAACCTTTCTTTAACAAGCATCCTTAGAGACTGTAATCCAATTTGGAATGAGAATACAAAAAAAAAAAAAAAACAAAAAAAAAAACCTAAGAAATGACTGGTATTTTTACGTTGATGAATACCTGAAAGTGTATATACTCCTACTGTTCATAAATCTTGATGCTGCAAACACTTTATTCTTTGTTCCTGCAGGATACATTTATCAGCTTCATAAGTCTGCTTTCCATTTCATAACTTAAACAAGAAAAAAATTTTAGATAGTTTTCAAAATATTCTCCACATTTTCCATTTATTCTCTACGTTGGGTAGATGTATGTGCAGTTGTTGCTATTTGTCCTCACTACATTTGTTTCTATTCCATTTTATCTGTCCAGATTTCCAACAACGTAATATTTCATGTTTTTGTCACTCGTATGTAATATGAAGTATCCTTCTGCAGACAGGGTTAAGTTAATAGCTTCAAAAGCAAACATAAATGTTTGTTTTTCTAGACCTACAGAGGGTACTGCTAACAGGATCTCAAGGTTTGGTGACAACCTAAAATTCTTTACACAGTGGCCCATCTCGTAGCTTGCAGTAGCCATTATTCAAAAGTGGCATCCCAATGAAACACACCATCTGTTAAGAGCTGGTATAATCCCCTTCAACACTGAAATTGAGCTGGCTATGTGTAACAAATAGAATGTAGTAAAAGTAACAGTGAGAAACATCCAAGGCTAGGTTATAGTAAACCTTCTAGCTTCTGCATTGATCTCTGGCAACATATTCCCTGACAGAAGCCAGCCACCATGCAAGAATTGACAACTTGAAAGCTCTTTGCAGTAACAAAGCTCAAGCCAGCCATGTGGAGAGTCCGGAGAGGAAGAATAAGATGCCTAGCCAATTCTCATGTCTTCCCAACATCCCAACTAAAACGTTAGCCATGTGAGTGAAAAAGTCGCCTTGGACATGCAGTCCAGTCTGACCTTTGGATGCCTCCGTCTCCAGTTATAAACTGTACTTCAACTACATGAGAAACTCTAAACAAGAGTCACCCAGCTAAGCCCAGTAAACACACAGAAATAAAGGAAATGACAACAGATAACTATTTCATTTCAAGTCACGAAGTCGCATTTTATGCAGCAATTAGATAACTGATACATTAATTTTTGGCTTTGAATCTGAACGTGTAAAGGTAGTTTTTATTCACCTTTTTTCACTATAGGATTTTGAGCTTTACAAACAGTTTTCAGTGTAAAATAAGACATGAAATATTAGAAACCTTAACAGAAGGCCATGGATAATGAAGGAATGACCAGAGGGAATTAGAGAAAAGTGACATAAAAGTCTGATGGGGTCCAAAGGAAAGAGGGATTGAAAGAAGGGAAGTCCACAGAGAATGATTACTAACAGATTAGTAACAGGTAGGCATAGCCCTGTAAGTAGCTCATAGAATCTTGAAAGAAGGTCAAACTGTTTAAGAAGTAGGTGAGGTTAGTCTGAAATTTTCCACTCCAGCTTGACTTTGTATTGGTTGTAAGAAATGACTTGAGCCTAAAGAAAATAATTATTGTACCTGTCTGTGGAATTTTATGTTTGAACAAAAATCAGATTCTTTTTCAGTAATAAACAAGATTGTCCATTTTTCCCTTTGTATTAATAGCAGAATGAAAAACAAGCAAAAAGCCAAGGAACCTTTCTACTGCAATAAGTTCTTATTCCTATTTTACACTGTCTCTAACCTTCTGGCAAAGATGCCACACCATACATTAAATATGTGATAAGAGTTAAACAGTTATTTTATTAAAATTAGAGTTAAAAATCATTGTATTAAAATTATTTACCAATTTAATCCAGTTTCATATCTAGCTTTAGAAAAACAAATTTCAAGAAGAAACTGAAGTGCACAAAGTGTTTGGATTTTTGTTTTGTTTTACTTAAAAAGAAAGAAAGCACAATACATGATTGCTCTATGAGAAAATTAAATGTATCATTTACAATATTAAAATTTTCAATAAAAACTATTCTTCTTTACAGTTTATTAGTGTTATTGATACATAATAATTGTATATATTTAAGGGGTACATGTGATATTTAGATCCATGCATATAATGCATAATGTTTAAATCAGGGTATTTAGCATATACATCACCTCCAACATTCATTATTTCTTTGTGTCAGTTTGTCATAGCATAACTAAGATGAAGACCTTGTGTTTCTGGAATGGAGAAAATCTGCATTCAGAGACAGACTAGTGATTTCTGTGCTGGTGTTTATTAATATCTTTCCAATTGTATCAATTCCTCTTATCAACTCAATTGCATCAATTCCAATTCTATCAATTCCTGTTAAAGTATATTCCTCAAAAATAAAAAAAATAAATTTTCTCTTCTAGCTATTTTGAAATATGCAATAAATTATTGATAGCTATAGCCTCCCTGCTGTGCTATAAAACAACAGAACTTATTGCTTCTGTCTAATTATGTCTGTATCCATTAGCCAAAATCTCTTGATTCTCCCGTCCTTCCTACCCTTCCTAGACTCTGATAACCACCATTCTACTCTCTACTTCCATTTTTTAAAAATTTCAATAGTTTTTGGGAAAGAGGTTGTGTTTGGTTACATGGAAAAGTACTTTAATGGTGATTTCTGAGACTTTGGTGCACTCATCACCCCAGCAGTGTACACTGTACCCAATGTGTAGACTTTTATCTCTCACCCCCTCTCATCCTTCCCCACGAGTCCCCAGAGTCCATCGTGTCATTCTTATACCTTTGCATCCACATAGCTTAGGTCCCACTTAAAAGTGAGAACATACGATGTTTGGTTTTCCTTTTCTGGGTTACTTCACTTAGAAAAATAGTCTCCAGCACCATCCAGGTTGCTGCGAATGCCATTATTTCTTTCATTTTTATTGCTGAGTAGTATTCCATGGAATATATATACCACATTTTGTTTATCCATTCGTTGGTTGATGGGCATTTAGGCTGGTTCCATATTTTTGCAATTGCGAATCGTGCTGCTATAAATGTGCCTGTGCAAGTATCTTTTTCATATAATGACTTCTTTTCCTCTTAGTAGATACCCACTAGTGAGATCATTGGATCAAGTGGTAGTTCTACTATTAGCTCTTTAAGGAATTTTCATACTGTTTTCCATAGTGGTTGTACTAGTTTACATCTCCACCAGCAATGTAAAAGTGTTCCCTTTTCACCACATCCATGCCAGCATCTATTATTTTTTGTATTCTTTTTAAATTATGACTATTCTTGGAGGAGTAAGGTGGTATCATATTGCGGTTTTGATTTGCATTTACCTGATCAACATTAGTGATGTTTAGCATTTTTTTCATATGTTTGCTGGTCATTTATATATCTTCTTTTGAGAGTTGTTTATTCATGTTTTTAGCCCACTTTCTGATGGGATTATTTCTTTTGGTTCTTGCTGATTTGTTTGAGTTCCTTATAGATTCTGGATACTAGTACTTTTTGGAGGCATGCTTTGTGAATAATTTCTCCCATTCCGTGGGTTGTCCATTTATCCTACTGATTATTCTTTAATCCTTTTATCCTACTGATTATCTATTTTGCAATGCAGAAGTTTTTAGTTTAATTAAGTCCCATCTATTTATCTTTGTTTTTGTTGCATTTGCTTTTGGGTTCTTGGTCATGAACTCTGCCTAAGCCAATGTCTAGAAAAGTTTTTCCAGGCCGGGCACGGTGGCTCACCCCTGTAATCCTAGCACTTTGGGAGGCTGAGGTGGGTGGATTGCCTGAGGTCAGAAGTTCGAGACCAGTCTGGCCCAAATGGTGAAACCCCATCTCTACTAAAAACACACACACAAAAAAAAAAAGAAAGAAAGAAAGAAAGAAAGAAAGAAAGAAAGAAAGAAAGAAAGAAAGAAAGAAAGAAAGAAAGAAAGAAAGAAATAGCCGGGCTTGGTGGCATATGCCTGTAATCCCAGCTACTCGGGAGGCTGAGGCTGGGGAATTGCTTGAACTAGGGAGGGGGAGGTTGCAGTGAGCCGAGATCACACAACTGCACTCCAGCCTGCGTGACAGAGCGAGACTCCATCTCAAAAAAAAAAAAAAAAAAAAGATTTTCAGATGTTATCTTCTAGAATTTATATGGTTTCTAGTCTTGGATTTAAGTCTTTGATCCATCTTGAGTTGATTTTCGTGTAAAGTGAAAGATGAGGATCTAGTTTTACTCTTCTGTATGTGGCTTGGCAATTATTCCAGCACTATGTGTTGAATAGGGTGTCCTTTCCCCACTTTATGTTTTTGTGTACTTTGTCAAAGATCAGTTGGCTGTAAGTATTTGGCTTTATTTCTGAGTTCTCTATTCTGTTATATCATTCATGTGCCTATTTTTATATCAGTATCATGCTGTTTTGGTAACTATAGCCTTATAGTGTAGTTTGAAGTTGGGTAATGCGATGCCTCCAGATTTTTTGTGTGTGTGTGCTTAGTCTTGCTTTGGATATGGGAACTCTTTTTTGTTTCCATATTAATTTTAGTATTTTTTTCTAGTTCTGTGAATAATGATGATGGTGTTTTGATGGAAATTTCATTAAATTTTTAGATTGCTTTTGGCAGTATGCTTATTTTCACACTATTGATTCTACCCTTCCAGGGGCATGGGATGTGTTTCCATTTGTTTGTGTCATATATGATTTCTTTCAGCTGTGTTTTGTAGTTTTCCTTATACAGATCTTTCACATCTTTGGTTAGGTACATTCCTAAGTATTTTATTTTATTTTATTTTTGCAGCTGTTGTAAAAAGGGAATGAGTTTTTTATTTGATTCTCAGCTTGGTCACTGTTAGTGTATAGCAGTGCTACTGATTTTGGTACATTGATTTTTTTATCCTGAGACTTTACTGAATTCATTTATCAGATCTAGGAGCTTTTTGGATGAGTCTTTAGGGTTTTCTAGGTATACAATCATATTATCAGCAAAGAGTGACAGTTTGACTTCTTCTTTACTGATTTGGATGCCTTTTATTTCTTTCTCTTGTCTGATTGCTCTGGCTAGGACTTCCAATACTATGTTGAATAGAAGTGGTAAAAGTGGGCATTCTTGTCTTGTTCCAGTTCTCAGGAGGAATGCTTTCAACTTTTCCCTGTTCAGTATAATGTTGGCTGTGGGTTTGTCAGAGATGGCCTCTATTACCTTAAGGTAAGTCCCTTCTACGCCAATTTTGCTGATGGTTGTAATTATAAATGTATGCTGGATTTTGTCAAATGCCTTTTCTGCATCTATTGAGATGAGCATATGACTTTTGTTTTTTAATTCTGCTTATGCTGTGCATCACATTTATTAACTTGTGTATGTTAAATCAACCCTACAACTGTCTTATGAAACCCACTTGATCATGTTGTATAATCTTTTTGATATACTGTTTTATTTGGTTAACTAGTAGTCAGTTGAGGATTTTTGCATCTATATTCATCAGGCATATTGGTGTGTAGTTTTCTTTTTCATGTCAATTCCTGGTTTTGGTATTAGGGCGATACTGGATTCATAGAATGATTTAGGGAAGATTCACTCTTTCTCTATCTTTTGGAATAGTTTCAGTAGGATTGGTACCAATTATTCTTTGAATGTATGATAAAATTCAGCTGTGAATCCATCTGGTCTTGGACTTCTTTGTTCGCATTTTTTTTATTACTGTTTCATTCTTGCTACTTGTTATTGGTCTGTTCAGAGTTTCTATTTCTTACTGATTTAATGAAGGAGGGTTGCATATTTCCTGGAATTTATCCATTTTCTCTAGGTTTTCTAATTTGTGCACAAAAAGGTGTTCATAGTAGCTTTCAATGTTCTTTTGTATTTCTGTGTTATCGATTGTGATATCTTCCATTTTGTTTCTATGCGAGCATATTTGGAACTTCTCTTTTTTTTTCTTGGCTAGTCTTACTAATAATTGTCTATCTTTTTATTTTTTAATCTTTTTAAAGAACCAGGTTTTCTTTCATCATCTTTTGTATTTTTTTTTGTTTCCATTTTGCTTATGCTCTGACCTTTGTTATTTATTTTCTTCTGTGGCTTTGGGTTTGGTTTGTTCTTGTTTCTCTAATTCCCTGAGGTATCAACTTAAATTGTCTATTTGTACTCTTTCAGACTTTTTGATGTAGGCATTTAATGCTATGAAGTTTCCTCTTAGTACCACTTTTGCTGTATCCCAGAAGTTTTGATATGTTGTGTCAGTATTGTTATTCAGTTCAAAGAATTCCTTAATTAACATCTTGATTTCATTGTTGACCCAAAGATTATCCAGGAGCAGATTACATAAAATCCATGTGTTTATGTAGATTTTAGGATTCCTTTTGCAGTTTATTTCCAATTTTATTGCATTATGGTCTGAGAGAATAGTTGATATAATTTTGAATTTCTTAAATTTATTGAGACTTGTTTTATGGCCTATTCTTTCATCTATCTTGGAGACTGTTCCATATGCTGATGAAGAGAATGTCCCATTTGCTGATGAAAAGAATGTATATTCTGCAGTTGTTGTGTAGAATGTTTTATAAATATCTGTTAAGTTCATTTTTTCTAGGGTATAATTTAAGTTCATTATTTCTTTGTTGACTTTCTGTCTTGATTACTTTTCTAGTGTTGACAGTGGAGTATTAAAGTCCCCCACAATTATTGAGTCACCATCTATCTCATTTCTTAGGTTTAGTAATAATTGTTTCAAAAATTGGGAGCTCCAGTGTCAGGTGCATATATATTTAGGATTGTGATATTTTCCTGCTGGATTAATATTTCTATCATTATATAATGTCCCTCTTTGTCCTTTTTAACCATTGTTGCTTTAAAGTCTGTTTTGTCTGATATCAGAATAGCTACTTCTTATTGCTTTTGTTTTCCATTTGCATGAAATGTCTTTTTCCACCTCTTTACCTTAAGTTTATGTGAGTCCTTATGTGTTAGGTGAGTATCTTGAAGACAGGAGGTACTTGATTCGTGGATTTTTATCCATTCTGCCATTCTGTAAATTTTAAGTGGATCGCTATGTTATTTACATTCAACATTAGTATTGAGATGTGAGGTATTGTTCTATACATCATGCTAGTTGTTGCCTGAAGACCTTGGGTTTTTCTTCATTAAGCAATTGTTTTGCAGGCCCTGTGAGATTTATGCTTTAAGGAGGTTCTATTTTGGTGTATTTTATGGTTTTGTTTCAAGATTTAGAACCTCTTTTAGCATTTCTAGTTGTGCTGGCTTGGTAGTGGTCAATTATCTCAGCATTTGTTTGTCTGAAAAAGACTTTATCTCTCCTTCATTTTTGAAGCTTAATTTTGCTGGATGCAAAATTCTTGGCTGATAATTATTTTGTTTAAGATGGCTAACGATAGAACCACAATCCCTTCTGGCTTGTAGGTTTTCTGCTGATAAATTTACCATTAATCTGATAAATTTTCTGTTATAAGTTACCTGACGCTTTTGCATCACATTTCTTAAGATTCTTTCCTTTGTCTTGACTTTAGATAACCTGATGACTATGTGCCTAGGCTATAATCTTTTTGTGATGAATTTCCCAGGTGTTCTTTGAGCTTCTTTTATTTGGATGTCTAGATCTCTAGAAAGACCAGGGAAGTTTTTCTTGATTATTTCCTCAAGTAAATTTTCAAAATTTTTAGATTTCTCTTCTTCCTCAGGAACACCAATTATTCTTACATTTGGTCATTTAACATTATCTCAAATATCTTGAAGGTTGTGTTCATTTTTTAAGTTGTTTTTTCTACTTGTTTGATTCTATTGTTAAAACTTTCCAGTGAATTTTGCATATCTCTAGGTTTGTGTTTCATTTCCAGAAGTTGTGATTATCTTTTCTTTATGATATCTATTTCTCTGGAGACATTTTCATCCATATCCTGTATTGTTTTTTCAGTTTCTTTAAGCTGGATTTCACCTTTCACTGGTACCTCCTTGAGTAGCTTAATAATCAACCTTCTGAATTTTTTACCTGGCAATTCAGAGATTTCTTCTTGATTTGGATCCATTGCTAGAGAGCTAGTGTGATCTTTTGGGGATCCTATAGAACCTTGTTTTTTCTGTTACAGGATTATATTTCTGGTTCCTTCTCATTTGGGTAGACTATTTTAGTGGAAAGATCTGGAACTCAAGTGCCGCTATTCAGATTATTTTCTCCCACGTGGTAATTCCTTGATGTAGTGCTCTCCTCCTTCCCCTAGAAATGGGGCTTCCTGAGAGCCAGACTGCAGTGATTATTATTTCACTTCTGGTTCTAGCCACCCAGAGAGGGTATCATCCTCTGGGCTGGTGCTGGGGAATGTCTGCAAAGAGTCCTGTGATGTGATCTGTCTTCAGGTCTCCCAGACATTGATACCAGCACCTGTTCCAGTGAAGCTGGCAGGGGGGTAAAGTGAACTCTGTGGGAGTCCTTGCTTGTAGTTTTATTTAGTGCACTGGTTTTCTTGAATGCCGGTTATGCTAGCAGTGAAGTTGTCATGTGGACAGAATCAGGACTATGATTAGCCAGGGTATTGCGGGTGGTGGAATTATCTGTTGTTTTCTCATTCTTTGGAACAGGGTTGTTCTGTTATGAGTTGCTGTAATGGCTTGAATTGATTGGTCTCCAGCCAGGAGATGTTGCTTTCAAGAGAGCACCAGCTGAGATGGTAGAAGGGGGACAATATCTTGCCCTGTACTGACTAGGATAAGTATTCAGTTTTTTCAGGTGATGGGCAGGGCCATAGACCTCCCAAGAGTTTATGTCTTTTGTCTTTTGCTACCAGGGCGAGTAGGGTAACACCATCAGTTGGGGGCAAGGTTAGGCGGATCTGAGCTCAGACTCTCCTTGCCCAGAGCTTGCAGCAGCCATTGTGGGTGGGGGCTGGTTCTCACGCTAATGGGGTTATGCTCCCAGGGGGAATATGGCTGCCTCAGCTGTGTGATACATACAGGTTGCCAGGGAAGTGGGGGAAAGCTGGCAATGACAGGCCTCACTCATCTCCCACACAGCCAGCAAGGCCAGTCTCACTCCTGCTGCTGTGCCCTGCCAACAGCACAAGTGTATATTCAGGCAATCTGTGAGCAGGACTGAGATCTTGCCCCAGGCTACATGCTTCCCTGGAGAGAAAGCAAAGAGGGCTCTCAGTTCTCATCCCTCTCTGCCTGCCTTCACTGTTGGCTGTGGCTTCTGCAATCATATTTGCACTTCCCATTTGCCCCCGCATTCTGCTCAGAAAAAAATCATGCTCAGTCAAAATTAATACAAATTTCAGCAAGGAGCCTCCTTCACCCTGTGGCCCCTCTGCAATTCCACTGGCTGCCTTCCCTGAGGACTGCTATGAAATATAGCCAGGGATAGCTTCCCTGAGCTAGAGCTTGGGACTGGGAGTGCCTACAGGGCTCTTCCCACTGCCTGCTACTTCTACTTTTGTATTTTGCTCATCTCCCTAAATCCATTTCAGCTCTAGGTAAGGTTAGTTCCTTCTCCCATGATCTGGATTTTTAGTTACTCCAGTGAGGATGTTTATTTGCAGTCAGATTTTCCCCCCTCTCACACTTTGGGGACTCACAGTTTTTTGACTGTCTCACAGAGTTTGCAGCAGCAAGCTGCTTATTTCAAAGTGTCTGTGAATTCTTTTGGTTTTCCTGGTATGTTCTTGCAATGGTTTTTGGAGCAAAAGTTCACAACATGAGTCTCCATACACTCTTCTGTCTGTTCAAGTGGGAGCTGCACATTAGTCCTGTCTCTTATCTGCCATTTTTTTCTCAGCCCAGCCTCTACTTCCATGTTTAAAAAACATTTAGAAAGAAAATAGATTATAAAAAGAGAGTGTTTACTGAAAAAGCAAGATGTTTTCAAAAACAAGTTTATCATGTAGGAAACTGGCAATAAGTAAATAATTTTAAACCATATAATTGAAAAATGTGCAAAAAAAAAAAAAAAAGAAAAGAAAAGAAAAGAAAACCCTACAATTCCCATGATCTGACTTCTGATTCTGAATAACATGTTTGTAGTTTCAGGCCAATAGTACCACCACAACAAGTAGAAACAGCCTGATAAATTACAAAACATATTTTTAAAGGAATCAGAGATGTAAAAGCAAGGATAAGTAAGCGAACTAAAATATATTTTTTAAAAGGTGTGGGAGGCATTTTCTGGGATGAGTTGATTATCTCCAGTTATTACTTCCCTGGGAGTATACCTATTCTCTGTGTACCAAATGTATCCGACTTTCCCAGGTTGCAAACTACCCTAGGCAGAATGCCCCTGCTAACAGGAAAATCAGAAAAGCTTTCTGTGGTTCTTTGCAGCTGGCTAATATGGCAAATTGAACAATTAAAGAAACCAAAACACAAAGTCAAGATTCAATATGAGACATTTCCTTAATTCTGGTGTAGTGCAGGTGGCTAGAAAACTAAGCAGAAAGTTTATGAAAGGCAGAAAAAAGTCTTCCTGATTTTTCTGGGCTTAGGAAATAAATACATTCTCCAAGTATATGGCCGTGTGCCAGTACTGAATCAATCAGAGGTAAGAAGTTAGCAAACTAAGCTAGAACATTTAAAGGGCAGAACTAGATTTCCTAAAGGACCCAGGAGACTAAAACAAATCAAGGTCCCAATCAGAGACCTTTCTAGAAAGACCATGCCTATGACCAGAAAAGACCAGAAGACCAGAAGGTAGACTTAGTCTCAGAAACTGAAAACAACTAGCACATTTTTTTTAAGTATTTAACTTTTGTGTGTACATAGTAGGTATATATACTTTTGGACTACGTGAGATATTTTGATATAGCCATGCAAAGTGTAATAATCACATCAGGGTAAATAGGGAATCTATGACCACAAGCACTTATTCTTTGTGTTACAAATAATCCAATTAAACTATTTTAGTAATTTTAAAGTGTACAATGAAATTATTTTTTACTATAGTCCATCTGCTATGCTAGGACATACTAGATCTTATTCATTCTTTCAGACTATTTTTTGTACCCATTAACCATCTCCACTTCCTCTCAACCCCACCCCCACCCCCACCCCACTACACTTCCCAGTCTCTCTTCTCTGTATCTCCATGAGTTCAATTATTTTAATTTTTAGCTTTCACAAATAAGTGATAACATGTGAAGTTTACCTTTCTGTGCCTGACTTATTTCAGTTAACATAGTGACCCCCAGTTCCATCTATGTTGTTGAAAATAACAGGATCTCATTCTGTTTTATGGCTGAGTAGTATTCCATGGTGTAATATATATACTACATTTTCTTTGTCTGTTGTTTATCTGTCCATCTGTTTATCTGTTGATGGACACTTAGGTTGCTTCCAAATCTCAGCTATTGCGAATAGGGCTGCAATGAACATAGAAGTGGAGACATCACTTGGATATACTGATTTCCTTTCTTTTGGGTATATACCTAGGAGTGGGATGTATATACCTAGGAGCTGGAACATATGGTAGCTCTATTTTTAGTTTTCTGGGGAACTTCTAAACTGTTCTCCCCAGTGGTTGTGCTAACTTACATTCCCACCAACAGTGTATAAGGGTTCCCTTTTCTCTGCAGCCTTGCCAGAATTTGTTATTGGCTGACTTTTAGATAAAAGCCATCTTAACTGGATTGAGATGACACCTCACTATAGTTTTAATTTGCATTTTGTGATGATCAATGATGTTGAGCACCTTTTCATATACCTGTTTGCCTTTTTTATGTCTTCTGTTCAGAAATGCCTATTCAGATTTTTTTTCCATTTTTTAATCAGAGTATTAGAATATTTCCTATAGAGTTGTTTGAGCTTCTTATATATTATGGTTATAAATCCCTTGTCAAATTGGTAGTTTAGAAATATTTTCTCCCATTCTATGGGTTGTCTCTTCACTTTCTTGAACATTTCAAAGTGTTTCTTGAAAGTGTTTATTGAAGATACTTTCTTTTTTTCCTTTGCTGTGCAGAAGGTTTTTTAACTAGATGAGAACCCATTTGTTCATTTTTGCTTTGCTGACTGGTGTTTGTGAGCTACTACTCAAGACATCTTTGCCAAGATCAATGTCCTAGAGAGTTTCTTCAATGTTTTCTTGTAGGAGTTTTATAATGTGAGGTATTATATTTAAGTATTTAGTCCATTTTGATTTTATTTTTATATATAGCAAGAGATAAAAGTCTGGTTTCATTCTTCTGCATATGGATATACAGTTTTTTTCCAGCAACATTTATGGAGGAGACTGCTCTTTCCCCTATGTATGTTCTTGGTACATTTGTTAAAAATGAGTTCACTGTAGGTGTATGGATTTGGCTCTAGGATCTTTATTCTGATTCATTTGCCTATGTGTCTGTTTTTATGCCAGTACTATGCCATTTTTATTAATGTAGCTCTGTGGTATAATTTGAGGTCAGGTAATGTGATTCCTCCAGTTTTGTTGTTTTGCTCAGGATAGCATTGACTATTCTAGGAGGAATTTTGTAGTTCTATATAAATTTTATAATTATTTATTTCCCTGAAAAATGTCATTAGTATTTTGATAAGGATTGCATTGGATCTGTAGTTTGCTTTGCATAGCGTGACATTTTAATAATATTATTTCAATCAGTGAACATGGAATATCTTTCCATATTTGTGTGTCTTCTTCTATTTCTTGCATCAGTGTTTTATAGTTTTTATTGTAGAATCTTTCACTTCTTTGGTTAAGTTTATTCCTATGTATTTTATTTTACTTGTAGTTATCGTAAGATTATTTTTTTCATAATGGTCACTGTTGGCATATAGAAATTTCAATAATTTTTGTATGTTGATGTTGTATCCTGCAACTTTACTGAATGTCTTTCTAATAGTTTTTTGGTGGAGTCTTCAGGTTTTTCCAAATATAAGATCATATCATCTGCAAACAGGGATAATCTCACTTCTTCCATTCCAATTTGTATTCCCTTTATTTCCTTCTCTTATCTGACTGTTCTAGCTAGGACTTCAAGGACTATATTATTGAATAACATTGGTAAAAGTGGGCATCCTTGTCGTGTTCCTGAACTTAGAAAAGGATTTCTGTTTTTACCCATTCAGTATGATACTTGCCATAGGTTTCTCATATATGGCTTTTATTATGTTGGGGTATGTTCTTTCTGTACCCAGTTTGTTTTTAGAGTTTTTATCATGAAGGGAAGTTGACATTTATCACATTTTTTTCAGCATCAATTGAAATTATTCCTGGTTTTTGTCCTTTATTCCGTTGATATAGCATATCATATACATTAATTTTCATATGTTGAACCATCCTTGCATCCCTGGTATAAATCCCACTTAGGTAATGTTCCCCTCTTATTTCTGGTTTTAGGTTTTTGAGTCTTCTATTTTCTTAATTTAGCTGAATAATAGTTAAATATATTGATCTTTTTGAAGAGCTATATTTCATAGCAGTCCTCAGGGAAGGCAGCCAGTGGAATTGCAGAGGGGCCACAGGGTGAAGGAGGCTCCTTGCTGAAATTTGTATTAATTTTGACTGAGCATGATTTTTTTCTGAGCAGAATGCGGGGGCAAATGGGAAGTGCAAATATGATTGCAGAAGCCACAGCCAACAGTGATATGTTATCTCAGTGCCCCTGGCCTGCAAAGTTTCTGCTGAGAAATCCAGTGAAATCTTATGGGGAATCCCTTGAATGTGACAAGTCATTTTTCTCTTGCTGCTTTCAGAATTCTCTCATTGATTTGTCTCTTGACATAATGTGGGTGTCTTTCAGTTAATCCTATTTGGAGTTAATTAAACTTCTTGCATTTGTGTATTCATGTCTTTCCTTAAGTTTGGGAAGTTTTCAGCCATTATTTCTTTAAATAAGCTTTCTGCTCCTTTTTCTACTTCTCTTTTCCTTCAAAGACTTTCATGACTTATATATTTGTCTGGTTTATACTGTGCTACAAGTATTTTTTTTGTATTCATTTTTTTCCCTCAGGCTTCATAATTTCTAATGACCTGTTTTCAAGTTCACTGATTATTTTCTCTGCCTTTTTGAGTTGTCTATTTTATCATTCTAGTGAATTTTTCAGTAAACCTATTGTATTTTTCGGCTCATGAATTTCTGTTTGTTTTTAAGTAATTTCTATCTCTTTGTTGATATTCTCATTTACTTCATGTATCATTTTCTTATTTTTATTTATTTCTTTGTGTATGTTTCCCCCTACCTATTTAAGACAGTTGTTTAAAGCCTTCATTTATTAAGTCTTAGCATGTGTTTCCTCAGAGACTATTTCTGGAGATTTATTTTTGTTCCTTTGAATGGGCCATATTTTTCTGTTTTTTTTTTTTTTTTTTTTTTTTTAAATATCCCTTGTGAATTTTCGGTGATATTTAAACATTTGAAGAATCATCTACCCCTCTGATTCTTTTTTTTTTTTTGATACTGAGTCTCCCTCTGTCGTCCAGGCTGGAGTGCAGTGGCGCTATCTCTGCTCACTGTAAGCTCCGCCTCCCGGGTTCACGCCATTTTCCTGCCTCAGCCTCCCAAGTAGCTGGGACTACAGGCGCCCGCTCCGTGCCCGGCTATGTTTTTTTGTATTTTTAGTAGAGACGGGGTTTCACTGTGTTAGCCAGCATGGTCTCAATCTCCTGACCTCGTGATCTGCCTGCC